>NC_000022.11:34012594-34164109 GCF_000001405.40 Homo sapiens
AACTTTTAACTTAGAGTTGTTTGAGATTTATGAGAAAGTTAAAAGATAACACAGAGTTCCCATATATATCATACCCACTTTTCTCTATTATTAATGTCTCACATTAGTATGGTACATTCTCCAAAACTAGTGAACCAATATTAATGCATTATTATTAACTAAAATCCATACTTTATTCAGATTTCCTTAGGCTTTTTCCTAATATCCTTTCCTGTTCCTTGTTTTTGCATTGTTACATCTTTCTTACATTATAACTCCATTTGCTCATGCAGCAAGCTTTTCTTTTTTTAGAGACAGAGTCTCAATCTGTCACCCAGGCTGGAGTGTAGTGGTGGGATCTCAGCTCACTGCAAACTCCATCTCCTGGGTTCAAGCGATTCTCTTGCCTCAGCCTCCCAAATAGCTGGAATTACAGGTGTGCACTGCCACGCCTGGCTAATTTTTGTATTTTTAGTAGAGATGGAGTTTCATCATGTTGGCAAGGCTGGTCTCGAACTCCTGACCTCAGATGATCCACCCGCCTCAGTCTCCCAAAGTGTTGGGATTATAGGCATGAGCCACCGTGCCTGGCTCATGCAGCAAACTTTTATATCCAGGATGCCACGTTGTATTTATAGTTTATAATATATATTTACAAATGCAGTCAGCCCTCTGTATCCATGCGTTCCCCATCCTGAGATTCAATCAATCTTGGATCAAAAATATTTGGAAATAGAACAATAAAGTTAATAAAAATTAGAAAAACAATATGGTATAGCAACTATTTACATACCATTTATATTATATTAGGTATTATAAGTAATTTAGACATGATTTAATGTATGGGGAGGATGTCCATAGGTTATAGGTAAATACAGTTATCATTCAGGATCCTTGCAGGGATTTTGGTTCCAGGACCACCCGGGGATACCAAAATTCTGGGATACTCAAATCCCTGAGATAAAATGGCATAGTATTTATGTGTAAACTTATGCACATTCTCCTATATACTTTAAGTCATCTCTAGATTATTTATAATACCTAATACTATCTAAATGCTATGTAAATAGTTGTACTCTATTGTTTATGGACTAATGACAAGAAAAAAGTTTGTGCATGTTAAGTACAGACATAATTTTTTTTCAAATATTTTCTGTTTGCAGTTGGTTAAATTTATGGATGTGAAACCCATGGGTACAGAGGGCCGACTGTACTATGCCATTTTATGTAAGAAACTCAAGCATCTCTGAATTTTGGTATACAGGGTCCTGGAACCAATACCCTGTGGATACTGAGGGACAATTATAATTGAAGTCCTCTTTCACATAACACTACATCACTTCACAGGTTGTACATGTATCTTAACACAGTATTCCCAATTCCCTCCTTCCATCTCTTATGATATAGCAGTTATTTATTACACTTATTCATATGATATAATCATCATATATATTATTCTGGTTCTTTGTTCTTTATGCACATCCAGGTTTGTGACCTATATGATTTTCCTCCTGCCCGAAGAACTTATTTTAACACTTATTGTAGGGACATCTGTTAGTGATAAAAATCTTTCCCATTTTTTGTAGGGACATCTGTTAGTGATAAAAATCTTTCCCATTCGTTTGTCTGCGAAAGTCTTTAGTTCTTTATTTTCATAGATATAGATTTCTATGTTAGTGAGTTTGTTTCCTTTCAACTGTACATATTTTGCTTCACTCTCTTTTTGCTTGCATAATTTCTGATGCAAAGTCTCCTGTAATTCTTTTTGTTGTTTTTCTGTAAGTAAAGTGTATTTTCCTTGTGTCTTCTATCAAGATTATTCTATTTTCCTTTGGTTTTCTGCAGTTTGAATATGATACATCTAGATATTTTTGTTTTTACTATTACTGTTATTCTCTGGATCTATTGTTTTATGTTGTCATTAATTATGGAAAATTCTTAGCCATTATTACTTCAAATATTTTTTCTTCTCTATTCTTTTTATAGAAATAGTACTCCAATTATACATATGTTACACCTTTTGATGTTGTCCCACAGTTCTTGAATGCTGTGTTCTGTTTCTATATTTTGTTTTTGTTTTTCCTCTTTGTATTTTATTTTGGGAAGTTTCTATTGACTTATCTTCCAGTTCCCTGATTCTTTTATTGGCTATGTTGAGTCTACTGATGAACCCACTGAAGTCATTCTTTATTTCTGGTACTGTGTTTTTTGGTTTTAGCATTCATTTCATTGATTGTATTTTAGAGTCTCTGCTTATATTACCCATCTATTCTTGAATGTTGTCTCCTTTTCCCATAATATATTAATCATGGTTATTTTAAATTCTCTGTCAGATCATTCTAACATCATATCTGAATTTGATTCTGATGATTGTTTTATCTCTTCACTGTTTTTTCTTGCTTTTTGGCATACCTTGTCATTTTTTTGTTGAAGGCCAGACATATTGAGTGAGGTAACAGGACTTGGGGTAAATAATCTTGCTAGAAGTTGAGCTCTGTTTAATGTTTGTTGTCACTATACTGCCAGAGGCTTCAAAAATCTCCAGTGTCTCCCTTCTTTAATTGTGACTGAATTTTTCTCTTCAGAGAGGATCTGTGTTGCAGGTCTTTCACCTATGAACTGCTGTCATTTTACTGGAGCCCTGTTAGTATAGTGGTAAGGAATGAGTAAAGGGGAACATTCTACAGCCTTCCAGTTAAATCTGTCTTCCAGTGAGCTTGTGTCTTAGAGCTGTGATCTTCACAAGTATTTCTCCAGTCATATAGCTTTTTATTTTTGCCACATCTCCAGTGTTCTTATTTCTTTGAAGCCCTGACCTCTGCTGACTTTCTTTCTTTCTTTTCTCTTTTCTTTTTTTTTTTTTTTTTTTTTGAGATGGAGTTTCACTCTTTCACCCAGGCTGGAGTGAAGGTGGCACAATCTCGACTCACTGCAACCTCCGCCTCCCGGGTTCAAGCCAATTCTCCTGCCTCAGCCTCCCGAGTGGCTGGGACTACAGGGATGCGCCACCAAGCCTGGCTAATTTTTGTATTTTTAGTAGAGATGGGGTTTCACCATGTTGGCCAGGCTGCTCTTGAACTCCTGACCTCAGTTAATCCACCTGCCTTGGCCTCCCAAAGTGCTAGGATTACAGATGTGAGCCACCAAGCCCCGGACCTGCTGACTTTGTTTCTTTTCTTCTTAGGTGAGATGCTGAAGAGGACTGGAATGGGAAGAATTCTTTTCCCTCCAGCTGGATGGCTCTGGAACTTCTCCTGAAGTGTAGCCTTTGTTATGGAAAAGATTAGTCTAGTTGTATTTCTAAAGGATTACTCTTCCTCTCCTCCTACCAGAGCCAGAAAGAGGATCTTTCTTGAATCTCGTAAACTTGGGAAGGTTCCTGGAGGTAAAGTTCACAAATGTGGCAGACCCTGTAAGAATGTGGCTCCTAGGAGTTTCTCACTCACGGCTGTCTACACTCAAGCTCCAGCAATTTGCCAAAACTCCCACTTGAGTCTTCCTACCAGTTTATGATTCCAGAGGTTTCTGCTCTAGGTAAGCAGATCTCATCTGTGTTTCTCTGGACAAGACTGTCTCTCCAGATTTTAGAACAGCAGTTTTTCCCACCTCTTCAGTTCTCTTATGGATCCAATAACTTTATTAATTTTTAGGTTGTCCAGTTTGTTTCATAGTATAAGGGTGGGACAATTTCTAAGCTCTTTATGTGTCTAAGCTGAAACTGGTAGCCCAGTATTAAACTCCTTTGAAGGAGTTTACCTGATTGGGTCAGGCCCTCTCTGGATAAGCTCCCTTTGGATAAACCTAATCTCAGGAGAGATGTTTCACTGTAGTCATAGGTACCACCCACACTTGAGAAGAGGGGGTTCTACAAGGTGTGTGCACTGGGGCTGCAATGTTGAGAGACTGTCTTTGAATTCTGCCTACCACAGCTTGCTGGAGGAGGTGATACCTGAATTTAATTCCAAAGGATGAGTGAAATGAGCTGACCTAAAAGATGGGAAAAGCATGCAAAGCAGAAGGAACAGCATGTGCAAATAAATAAGAAAGAACACAGCATAGATGTTAGCAAGATCCAGATGCTATGCCCAAAGAGATCCAACTGTGTCCATTAAATATGTTCAGTTTTTAAACTATTATCAATTATACCTCAATAAAACTTATAAAAAGGATCCATATGCTGACTTCCTTTACTTTGGGGTCGCATCTTGAGATGAGAAATTTCCTCTGGAGCTCACTTTGAAGAAACAGATAGCTAACCAGCAAGAATTAAATATAAAGAACTCTCTCCATTGACCAAGAGAATCTTGGATTATTAACTCTGAACGTCAGCATGGCGGGGTCACCTCCAGGGATGTTCTAGGTAAGCACGTTTCTTGTATTTGTGGTGGCTGGGTTGATGGATATGGTTATTTCCTTCCAGAAATGTTGCCACCTTAACTCTAATGAACTATAGCTTTA
The DNA here is from genome assembly GCF_000001405.40 of Homo sapiens. Lineage (NCBI taxonomy): Eukaryota > Metazoa > Chordata > Mammalia > Primates > Hominidae > Homo > Homo sapiens. Next base: position 34,017,032 of record NC_000022.11, read on the forward strand.
ATGAACAAGGTCTTTCCACAGAAGTGTTGTGTCTCTTCAATTATGTCTTGTTAAGCAAACCTTTTCCTTATTTTCTTTCCCCAAACAAAAAGGTAAAAAAAAAAAGAAAAGGAAAAAAAACCCCAAAAACCAAAAACTCTACAACTTTTTTTTTTTTTAATCCAGGGGAAAGGAGTTGGAATAATTATAGATTGTTTCCCTCTTGTAATTATATAAATGTTATTCTTTGTGTGGACTGTCCTTTCACTGGACATTTTTTTAATCAAAGATGTTTACATTTCTGCAACACATTTGAAACAAACGAAGCAGCCATCCTGCAGGGAAATGGCATTGATGGTTGCCATGGGAACTGTGTGAAGTCACGGAAAGTAGATTATCTCATAATGCATTACCCAGTGTCAGAAACAGGCAGCCTGACTAGAGAACAAACTACCAATTAACGAGCGAGGAAACAGGGCCAGAGAATTGGAACAAAATACAAGGCTGCCTCTGAAAGGTCATGTTCAAGCTAATTTATTGGTTATTTTGCTCTACCCAAACCCAATTATTCTGATTGATTTCCACCCATATAAATCTACTGTAACCAGTTCAGACTTCTGTATGAAGAATATCCAGAAAAGTAGAATTTTATATTTTGGAGAAATTTTCAGGATTAGTTTTTTTTTTTTTTTTAAATCCTTTTGCTCACTCAGTGACATTTTTCAGTTATTATCTTTGTATTTATGAAAACATTTGGGCGGCAGTACATGTAATTAAAGGTGTGAGTTCTAGCATCAAATTGTTTGAGTAAGAATTCCAGCTTTACCTCTTTTTAGTTTTTCGGTTTTGTACAAATAACTATGCCTCTAAGCCTTGGCTTCCTTGATTTTAAAGTGGGAATAATAATACCATCTATTTCTATATCTTGTAGGCTTATTTTGTGGATTAAATGAAACTAATCCAAACAAAGAGCATAATGCCTGTGTTTTATAAGGGTTTGGTGGTGTTTATCTAAAGAAGGTATCCAGATTTTCTACATTAAATGAGGCCTGTTTTTGCAAAGTCAGGAATTAAAAAAAAAAAAAAAGCTCATCTTGTTAAAAAAAGAAAAAGAGAGAAAAATATGTGTTGATTACAAAGTCTAACTTCAACTGTCATCAAAATCACCTAGAGAGCTTTATCAAACCGTAGGTTTTAGGGGCCCACTCCAGACCTACTGATGAGAATCTCTTGGTACGGGGCACAGATACGTGCATTCTAAATGACCTCCCTGAGTAAGTCTGTTTCAAATTAGCCAGCCTAAGAATCCCTTGTCTCCTAAGAGTCATTTGGTTAAAATGTGTCCATTGGAACGCATTTTTCTAAATCCCATTTTCTGGGTTTGGTCAGCTCATGCGGGGTGCTGCCTGGGTAATGAAAATTTTAACAGGCCTTTAAGGTGATTCTGATGCAGGTAGTACGAAAAGTATAAAGTATAAAAAAGAGTCTCTCCAGGTCCTTTTCCCACTCAACCTCACTTTACCACTTGGAAAAAGAGGCTCTCATGATGTTCACAGCTGCTTAGGAGTATGGATGGTTTTTCACAGGAAGAACAAAGAGGCTAAAACTTCTTTCTTACATGTAGAAAGCTGTTCTCTCTATCTCTTTGGTAACCCAGGCTGCTTCCTTTCCTCTACTTTCCTTATAAGGCCAAATAGAAACCAGGCTGGAGGCCAGGCGTGGTGGCTTATGCCTGTGATCTCAGCACTTTGGGAGGCCGAGGCGGGTAGATCACAAAGTCAAGAGATCGAGATCATCCCAGCCAACATGGTGAAACACTATCTCTACTAAAAATACAAAAATTAGCTGGGTGTGGTGGCACATGCCTGTAATCCCAGCTACTTGGGAGGCTGAGGCAGGAGAATCTCTTGAACCCGGGAGGCAGAGGTTGCAGTGAGACGAGATCACACCACTGCACTCCAGCCTGGAGGCAGAGCAAGGCTCCATCTCAAAAAAAAAAAAAAAAAAAAAAAGACGAAAGGAACCAGGCTGTGACCACTGGGAAGGAAGCCCCCCATGAGTGGTTTAGCCACTTCTATTCTCAGTGAGGAAAAAAACATCCCCTTTGGACTTGTTCTTCTTCATCTCCTTTAGTTACTGGAATTGAGAGAGTCAAGGAAATGATGTGCTGGCTTAACAACTGGGTCTCAGAAAAACATATACACACACAAACAAGCCCTGATTTGTAGCCCTTGCTGATTCCCATGGTGTAAATACACCAACCTACGGCTGATTTCAAGCTGACAACCATGACGTTACTGTACACAGATGTCGGAAGAGACAGGGACAATCTGTTCTCCTGAGCCAATCCAAGCCAGCTCCAGTACATCTCTGGGCCATATCAGATGACTAGATTGTGGACCCATTAGAAATAAAGCCACAAAGGAACAGGCCACGTGACTGAGGTCACCTAGCCTTGGCCTTAAGCCGGAGGGACAGGTGAGGGTCTTCCTTACTGATGTGTGACTCAGCTCAGTTTCCCAGGGTAGACAACCACAAAAAAAAAAGTGTAAATAAATTTCTTTGCAAACGCTGCCTTCAGTAGGTTGGTAGTTGCTGCTCGGGGTGCTGTGTAGAAGGATGCAGAGGCCCTCTGTTGGCCTCACAGGATGATTACTAGGATCCCTAGTGAGGTTTGAAGTGAACACGGAAGAGAGGAGTGAAGGCACATGTGTTTGCCATCTGTGTTGTGGGGATTCCATTCACTCATTCATTCAGAGAATACTGAGTTTCCATTAAGTTTCAGGCACTGTTCTAGGCACTGAAAGTAAAGGGAAGAGTGAGATAAAGTTCATGCGGAGTTTTGTGGGATTGGGCCTAAAGCTCTAATTAGTAATAAGAATTTCCCATCTGCATGCAGTTTTTATACCTAAATAGGTAGTTTGCCAAGAATTCAAGGGTCTTATTCAAATAGCTTTCCATTAGAAAAATGAATGAATTCAGTATTGAGAGAGGCTCTAGGTCAAGACCCATCTCTGGAAGGAAGAAAAGGAAATGAAAGTACAACTGTAGGAGAGGAATAAAGAATACCTGTTCTGTCAAAGAAGATGCATCCAATGATATTTCATTTTCAGGAAGGAATGAATGAATAGACAAATAACTTAATATATTTTCAGTTGTGGGCATTTCCTATGCGAAGACAAAAACTCTGTGGTCTAGCTAATGCATGTGGGGCTTAATACCTAGATGATGGGTTGATAGGTGCAGCAAACCACCATGGCACACCTTTACCTATATAACAAACCTGCACATCTTGCACATGTATCCCGGAACTTAAAATTAAAAAAAAAAAAACAATTCTGTGATCTTACACACAGAGATAAGTTGGTTCTGTAGAAAGATGCAAAGATTTTGAAGACTGATAGGAATGGATTTGAATTCTACTTCTGCCACGTTCTTAATTTTCCTTCAGCAAATGTGTACTGAATGCCTATTTTCTGCCATGTCCTATACTAGGTACTGGGAAGCATAGGGGAGTAAGATCCTGCCCTCTCTTTAGGGAGCTCATGGTCTATTTAAGAGCTGTGTGAGAGGTGTAGGGCAAGATAGTGAACTTCACCAACTTAATGCGTAAAATGCATATAATAACTTTTTTTTGAGATGGGGTCTTACTCTGTCACTCAGGCTGGAGTTCAGTGGTGCAATCTTGGTTCACTGTAACCTCCACCTCCCGCGTTCAAGTGATTCTACTGCCTCAGCTTCCCGAGTAGCTGGGATTACAGGCACATGCCACCATGCCCAACTAATTTTTGTGTTTTTTTGTAGAGACGGGGTTTTGCCTCGTTGGCCAGGCTGGTCTCGAACTCCTGGCCTCAGGTGATCCACCCGTCTTGGCGTATAATAACATTTCTGATGTGCAAATGCTGCCTTCTGCATTCTTCTAATAATACTATTTAAGGGCATGGGGGATTGGATGAGACAATGCAAAAAAACAAAACTAGTGCCTAGAGACACCCAACGTACATTGGTTTCTTTGTCCATGTTCCATTCCATGTTTCCTTTATAGCTGTTGGAGGTTAGGGCCACTCACGTGATGTGTTCTCTGCCTGCTCCTCTAATCTGGTCAAAATAAAAATCAAGAGCAGCCTCAGGAGGAAAATAACTCACAAAAATGCAACATGGGGTTGGAGGAGTTGGCCTGATGTCTGGAGGCTCTTTCTCATGTGATTTGCTTCACCTGATTCTAAGTCCACCTTACCTTGGCAACCATAAATTTTACCCTAAAAATCCACTTACATTTCAGTTGTTCAGGACTTGAAATAGTTTCTCCACAAAGAGGATGTTTTAATTGGTTTGAGGGCGACCCACATGAAGTTGACATGCAATTTCATCTAACTTATAAGTTCTAGAGGTTCCCTGAACCCCAGGCTTCCATGAATATTGAGTTATCAGGGGACACTAGGCTGAGATTCAAGAACCTGGCCCTGGGTAGCATGAGTGGAAGCTCTCTCTGCAACAGCCAGAGATGGTAGTGCTGATCAACTCATTATCAATATAAAATGATAATTAGTAATGGTAATATATTAGAGATGGTCTCTATGTAAGCTTCACACGTTTTGCTATCTTTTCCCTCTTGCTTTCTCTCTCTGTTTTTTTTTTTTTTTTGAGATGGAGTCTTGCTCTGTTGCCCAGGCTGGAGGGCAGTGGTGCCATCTCCACTCATTGCAACCTCTGCCTCCCAGGTTCAAGCTAGTCTCCTGCCTCAGCCTCCCCAGTAGCTGGGACTGCAGGCATGGACCACCATGCCCAGCTAATTTTTTTTGTATTTTTAGTGGAGACAGGATTTCACCATGTTGGCCAGGCTGGTCTTGAACTCCTGACCTTGTGATCTGCCTGCCTTGGCCTCCCAAAGTGCTGGGATTACCGGTGTGAGCCACCGTGCCCAGCCTTGCTCTCTCTTTTTAAAAGCAGATTCTTCTCTTCTCCCTTCATTGCCAAGTCATCTGCCAGCTGGTTGGATCCTGGAGAAGTGGAGTAGTTTTGGGGAAGACAGTGGGATCAGGGAAAAAAGGGAATGGAAAGGATGGGAAAGGGGCAAGTGAAAGGGGGAGTAGGGTGGGGAAGACTTGAATTATTGAACATTAAGGAAGGCATTTGTATTGATTTTCATCTCATCCATAGAGAGGTAGCAAATGTAGTGGGTGATGGAATTTTGTCTTTCCTCTCTTCCTTCTAATACCACATGTGAAAGTGTAAATTCTAGGGTCACTTTGTGCCCATCTAGTGGAACCAGTAGATTTCCAGCTGGCTGTGTGTATGCATGCATTTAGATGCTCTGAGCATGTGATTCAGGGAAGACTGATGTCTCTACACTCTAAAGCCTTTATTTATTTACTTGCACATGACATATTTAATTCCAAGGTGCTCAAGGCATTTTTGCAAGCATTAAATTAACTGTTAATCCTCTCTCTGTATATATAAAGCAGTGAAAAAAGTCTTTTATTATAAAACTTTGTGGACTAAATCTGAAAAACAGACTTAACAGGAATAAGGATAATTAAGGGGGATGAAAAGAGAAAGACGCAATAGGAAAAGGAGACCCGAATGAAAAGAAAAGCCTTCTGTGGCTCCCCGCCAAGGATGGAAACCTCTGGGAGATTTTCTCTTCAGCCTGGGACCAAGCCAGCCATCCAGCATTCCAGGTGGTGACTCTGTATGTGTGTTTCTAGGTTTATCTAGTAGCTACCTAACCTGGGGTAAGGTACGTCCCCACGTGAACACTAAATTTCCATAGCTTTAAAATGGGGATTACAACAGTATCTACCCCATAGATTTATAGTGAAGAACACACAGTAGGGATGCAATATGTGTTACCTGAATTATCATCATCACCATCATCATCATCCATAAACATCAAGCAGATTTCTGTCTTGATCACTGTTGGCAAAGGGATTGTTTTGCCCCAGCCAAAATTGTGTCTGAAAACTCCCAATGATAGATATCACAGAAATGTCTGCAATTTGCCACATCTCCCTATATCAATACCCTTGACAGTGTGACTTTTCAGTTCCTCCTATGGGGTGGATTCTACTTACTTACATCTTGAAGATGGATTTTGCGACTTGCTTTGGCCATGAGAATACAAAAGAAGTGACATTGTTCCAGTTCTAAGTCTAGACCTCAAGTGGCCTTGCATGCTTTGATTTGTTCTCCTGGAAAGTTGTCCTGCCATCATGAGAACAGATCCAGGCTAACCTTCTGATGATGAGAGAGGTGTGGTCCAGCAGTCCTCAGCACCCCAGCTGACAGTCATCCTAGATTGATCAGTCCTCAGCCACCTGCAAGATGACCGCAGACACAGGAGTGAGAAGGTTGATACAGGCTGTGCCCAGCCCAGATTAGCAGGGCCACCCATTTTACCTGTAAATCCATGAGCAATAAAAAATGATGGCTGTCTTGAACTGAGAAGTTTTGAGAGTGTTTTTTTATGCAGCAATACCTAATTGCTACCACCCTCTTTTCAGGTTTACTTTTTATTTACTTACTTATTTGAGATGGGATCTTGCTAAGTTGCCGTAGGGAGGGTTGGTGGGAAGGTTGGTGGAAGCCACATAAAGAAATTCCTTCAGTATCTCTAGAATTGTCACTGCTATGGTCTTAATGTATTTTCCAAAATTCATTTGCTGGAATTTGATTTTCAATGTGATAGTGTTAAAAGGTGAGGGCTTTAGGACATGATAAAGTCACGAAGACAGGCCCTCATGGATGGAGTTATTGTCATTATAAAAGGGCTTGAAGGGGCTGGCCCATTCTTTTTGCCCCTTCCATCTTCTGCCATGTGAAGACACAGCAAGATAAATGACCCAGGCTCAGGTATTTTGTTATAGCAGCGTGAACAGACTGAGACAGACACCTATCTGTCTTTGTTCACTCAGGCTGCTGTAGCTAAATGCTATAGACTGGGTGGCTTGTAAACAACAGAAATTTATGTCTCACAGCTCGAGAGGCCTGGAAATCCATAGCATGTTGTGTGACCAGTGAGGGCCCTCTTCCTGGATCACCAATGGACTTCCTCTTGCTGTGTCCTCACATGGTGAAAGGGGCAAGTGAGCTCTCTGGAGTCGTTTTTATAGGGGCACTAATCCCATTCATGAAGGCTTCACCCTCATACTCTAATCACCTACCAAAGGCCTCACCTCCTAATACCACCACGTTGGTGATTAGGTTTCAGTGTATGAAACCTAATATGGGATGGGGGCACAGACATTTCATCCATATCATTATCTCTCCACTTTCTCAACCTTCCCTCTCATCTCCTTCTTCTAGTCTCGCCTACCCCCTTCCTCATCTCCCACTCTCCAATCCATTCTCCTGTCAGAACAACTTTTTTCTGACATGTAAATCTTGTTCTGTTGCTCTCCTACTTCAAATCCATTGTGGACTTTCCATTGCTCTCAGAACAAAGCCAGAACTCATAGCATGGGACATAACACTCTCTATGGCAATCTCTCCTCTGTCTCCCACCTGTTATGTATCTGCCTGTGCCTCCCACTTGTTACCTAAGATCTAGCTGTGGCTTTTGGAGTCTCTGGGGAGCCCAGGCACAGGTTTATCCTTCCTCTTCTGGGTTTTGAACACCGTGAGAGAAACAACCCAAAGGAATCAGAATACCAAAATATCACCTCTCACGGTGATAAGAGCTAAGTTAGATGACACAACTTGTGTGAGTAGCATGGACCCACTAGCTGAATTCCTTGAACTGGGCAAGTTATCCATCCAGCCACAGGCAGTGCAGGCTCAGGGAATCTTCAACCAGTAAATATTAAATGCATGACATGAACATGCATAGAACTTCCACTCTTTGCATGTAATTTGCTCCCAAGAAAATAAGGGAGATCTATTTTATATTCTTTCCAAATTTACCAATCAGATAAGTCAGTCCACCTCCCCTGGGATGGAGTGAGTAAAGGGTGGAGAAATGCCATCTGAAAGACTTCAGGAGAAGGGGTGATGTATCCCCCTATCAGTATTGAACACTCATGGTCCTCTGAACACACTCTGCCGCTTGTCTCATATCACTGTGTGTTTGAATATGCTGGTGCTTCTGACTGGAACACTCTCATCTGCCCACTCCTTGTCTATCCCCATTTGTTTAACCCACTCCTACTTAGTCTTTAGAACACTCTCCTGAAAATTAAGTGAGAACTATTAGTTGACCCTCTAGGAAGTGTCTGGAAATTAAGAGCCCTTTAATAATTTCTTATTGAACACATGGAAGTGGTATTTGACCTTGACCTTGATCGAAGGGTTAGATCCGGACAAGTAAGCTTGGACAGTAGAGAAGAGGCTTGAAGAATTTTTTTAGGCAGAGAGGATCTCTCGAGCAAATTCAGATATGAGAAATACATACTGAGTGTGGTTGGTTTGGCTAAAGCACGGACCATACAAAGAGAAGTTTGTTACATCAAGTTAGAAAAGTTGGTTAAAGCTAGATTGTGAAGGGTTTTGAACGTCAGGCTAAATAATTTGGTAGGCAGTAAAGAGCCATTAAAGAATTCAAGCAGATTAGTGCAATCAATAATATATTCCTGACATTTAGGCAGAAAGTGTCTAGTTTTGCCAATTGGCAAGTTTTTCACCTGTTGAGATGAGTTTTAGCTACATCCCTATGTGATTTTTCTCAGCACAGCACCTTGGATTGCTAATAATTTGTTTCAAATCACATTCACTTAAAAAGAAGTAGAGAGGGTAGTAGAGAAATAGATGCATGAGAAATTCCTGTAATTCAAAATAGACAAGTTTTTCTTCCTCTTCCTCTTCCTTCTCCTCCTCCTCCTCCTCATCTTCTTCCTCTTCCTCCTCTTCCTCTTCCCCTTCCCCTCCTTCTCCTTCTCCTTCTTCTTCTCCTTCTTCTTCTCCTTCTCCTTCTCCTCCTCCTCCTCCTTCTTCTTCTTCTTTTCTCTCTCTCTCTCTTTCCCTTCTTTGTGGGTGTCCTGGGGAAAAGAGTACTCTTTTATTTGGTGATGAACAAATGTAAATCTCCAATGTTGGTGAAGAAAAGTTAAGAGAAGTTTGTTTGTACTCTCCTGGTTTATACTATAAGCTACCAAGTGGGGGGTCCAGTTAGAAAAGTTTCTCTAATTTACTGTTGGTTGGTCGGCAGCAGCTCCGACAGCTTGGGAATTGACTTCCTCAACCATGCTCAACTCACAGCTGCACTTCAAGTTGTTATAAAATGACCTTGAGGTGAAGTCGTCATGGGCTCTGAAGACCACACCAGTCCTTTGATGTTACTAGATTAGTGATGCAGGCAGCTCTGTGGAAGTCAAGAGGGAGAATGCAATGAAGGAAGACTTGGGAGGAGACCCAATGTGATAGATTAATTACATTAATGGTTCGTATTCCTTTCTCCTCCCTATATCCACACGGTAACCATGTAACTTCGTAGCGCGCTCCCACTCTGAATCTCATGCTGGGTTTAGCCATGTTACATGCTTTGACCAATGGGATGTTAGCTAATGTGACTCAGGCTGAAATTTCAAAAAACTTTTATGTGATTGGAACTGCTTTTGCGCCTTGGCTATCACCATGAGAACATTCTTGGGCTCACCTTTGGGAAGATGAGAGAAATATGGTTGTTCAGTTACTCCAACCAGAACCATCCTAGAGTAGCTGACAAGTAGACAACTCTTACATATGTGGGCAAGTCCACACAGCTGAGTCCAGACAGAGTCAGAAGAGCTGCCTACCTGAACATGACAGATGTGCAAATGCTAAATGCTATTATTGTATGCTACTGAGGTTTTGTGGTTGTGTGTTACATGGCATTATTGTGACCATAGATAACTGATACAGCCAATGACTATAGTTGGTGTGGGAAAGGGACATTTGCAGAGTTGGGAAAACACCCAGGAGTTTCATGCCCTATGGCTGTGGCACTCACACCTGAATGAGTCTCTCTGCTTCCCTTCTTGTCTTGCTATAGCAGGTGCTATTTTCCTTTTTCCCTAAAGTTTTAATTTTTAAAGTTGAAGTTATACCTTTATCAAAGTTGAGAGGGAGACTATAGCATAGTGTATATTCTTGGGTTCACAAATAGCATTTGCAGGATCTATAAACTAGGATGGGAAAATACTGCATTTTTCTTTTCACTAATGTCTCCCCACAATTTACTCTTGAATACAGGCAGCCGAATAATACATGGTTGTGTTAGCAGTACCTGAGAGACTTTGTCAAGAATAGAAACTGATATTTTTATACTCCATTAGTGTTATTGCTCATGGCTACTTTGGAATTGTGGTAGATAGTAGACCTATCACTGAAACTTGCTGTTACTGGGATAACAAGGAAGCACATATATTGTCATATTGCATTTTAAAATATTTTGATAACTCTTATGGAGATACAATTAGTTTCTACTGTAACTCTATGGGCTTTTAATGTGTTCAACATTTGAAACAAAGGAGATCCTAGGCTTCACCGGAATGCCAAGGGGTAAAGGCTTAGAAAATTTTAAGAACCCCTGGTAGAGTGATTGAGAGTGGTCACACTAGATCCAGTCTGCTGGATTATACTCCAGCTCTGCTGCTTACGAGCCCTGTAATCATACAGTAATTACTTAACCCCTCTGAGCCTCAGTTGTCTCATCTGGAAAATAGAAATAATAATAGGGAAAAACTTGTAGAATTGCTGTAAAACTAAATGAGTATAATGTGTGCAGACTGCTTAACACAGTACATGGCTCAACACAAGTGTCCATATCTTTCGTATCTTTAGCTCTAGTAAAATATTATTCTTCATGCATATTGTTTAAAGGGTTGAATAGTTGTACAAGCTTTCTTGCATAAAACACCAATTCTCTGCCCCTTTTGTCCAGCTTTCCTTTCCCCAGAAAAAATACTTACAATTTTTTAATTGACAATTTTGATGTTTACTTTTCCGTAACTAAGAAACTACCTTGTATAGCTACTTGTTGATTTTTCAGTTTTAGACATTATCTAAGAATTGGTTCCACCAGACGTGCATTTTTTTTTTTTTTGAGACAGAGTTTCACTCTGTTTCTCATGCTGGAGTGCTATGCTGTAATCATGGCTCACTGCAGCCTCAACCTTCTGGGGTCCAGCGATCTTCCTGCCTCAGTCTTCTGAGTGCCTGGGACTATAGGCACATGCCAGCATGCCTGGAATATTTATTTATTTATTGTAGAGACAGGGTCTTGCTCCGTTGCCCAGGCTGGTTTTGAACTCTCCGGCTCAAGTGATTCTCTTGCCTCGGCCTCTCATAGTGCTGGGATTATAGGCATGAGCCACTGAGCCTGGCCAAGATGTGCATATCCTTGCCATACTTTCATCCTCCTAATCAACATCATGATTTTGATTAGATCAATATTGTTTGTTTATATTATCATGACTGTGTAAATGCTATTCACAGCTGAGCAATGTGGTACATTATGATTACTTTTCCTTTCCTGTAAACTTGGTTTTCCCTGGAGCTATTGATTGTCTTGTTTTTCTTTTAAATTTCTTTGTTCTCATCAGTAATTGAATCTAGTCTTTTCCGTTTGTCTAAATTTCTTCTTTTCTCAAGACATAAAGATGTTTTGGTTATTTTCTACCTATTTAATATTTGTGAGTAATATACACTGAGCCTCTAGGCCTGTTCCACCATAGATTACTAGCCCTTTTATTCTTAGAGCACAGATCTCATCTTGTAATATTCCTTATCAGTCATTCTGGGGATTCTTTTCACCTGTCTCCTGCGGACTATCTCTTATTTCTAATATCCTGTATCTTCTCTGTGGGTTACACTTTCTACTTTGTGGTTCATATTTTCTAGTAGTTTCTTGGGAAAGGAGTTAGAATTTTAAAAAAGGATTCGCATGTCTGAAAAATAATTAACTTTATTGACTCTTGATTGATATGTTAGCTAGGTATAGAATGCTACCTTGAAAATAAATTTTCTAATGAGTTTTAAAGACATTCTGTTCCCCTAAATTGCCACTGCCTTCTAGTATCTGGTGTTGTTATTAAGAAGCCTGAAGATTTTTTTTTTTTTTTGAGATGGAGTCTTGCTCTTGTTGCCTAGGCTGGAGAGCAGTGGTGTGATCTCGGCCCACTGCAACCTCTGCCCCACCAGGTTCAAGCAATTCTCTGCCTCAGCCTCCTGAGTAGCTAGGATTACAGGTACCCACCACCACGCCTGGCTAATTTTTTTGTGTTTTTAGTACAGACAGGGTTTCAGCTGATCTTGAACTCCTGACCTCATGATCCACCCGCCTTAGCCTTCCAAAGTGCTGGGATTACAGAGGTGAACCACTGTGCTTGGCCTGAAGACTTTTTGATTATTTGTCTTTCGTATGTGTTCTTTTTTGCCCATTCTGTCTTGAGAACTTAAAGGATCTCTTTATCTCTGGTGTTCTAAAATTTCATGATTATGTCATTTGATTTGGGTTTATTTTCATCCATTTGTGTGGGCATTCAATAAATTTTCAAATCTGAAAAAATATGCTATTTCTATATATTCTTGAATTATTTTTAGATGCCTCTCTTTAATTTTTTTTTGTTCTCCTTTTCCAGGACTTTTAAAAGATTACATGTCATCACCATGTAATGTGTACATATGGTGGTATAATTATGACTTTGTCATATACTTCGATGACATTGGCAATTAAAAAAATTTTTGTTGTATAAATTTAAGGTGTACAACATGATTTTTTGATATACATATGTATAGTGGAATAATTGCTATAGGTGAGCAATTTAACATATCCATTATCTGACATAGTTACCTTATTCTTTGGTGGTAAGGCCACCTAAATTCTACTCTTTTAGTATAGTCCTCATGCAATACTGTAGACCTCTGTATTTACTCATTCTACATAACTGCAACTTTTTACTCTTAGACCTGCAACTCCCTATCCCCTTCACCCCTAGCTGCCTTTGATAATCACCATCTACCTTCTTTTTTCTGTGTATTGGAGAGTGTCTTCCTTTTTTCTAAAAAAAAAAAAAAAAAAAAATCACGTATAAGAGATATTATGCAGTATTTTTCTTTCTGTGTCTGGCTTATTTCACTTAACATAATCTCTTCCAGTTTCATCCATGTTGTCCCAAATAGTAGGATATCCTTCTTTTAAAGCTGAATTATATTCCATTGTATACATATACACCCCAATGTTTTCATCCATAAGAACATTTAGGTTGTTTTCGTATCTTGGCTATTGTGAATAATGCTGCAGTGAAGATGGGAGTGCAGATATCTCTTTGGTATATTGATTTCATTAACTTGGATATATACTCTTAAGAGGCATTGCTGGCTCGTATGGTAGCCCTTCCCTTCCCTTCCTTTCTTTTCCCCCTCCACTCCCCTCCCCTCCCCTCTCCTCTCCTTTCCTTTCCTTCCTTTTTTTCCTCCCCTCCCCTTCCCTCTCCTCTCCTCCCCTCTCCTTTCTTTCTGATGGAGTCTTGCTCTGTTACCCAGGCTAAAGTGCAGTGGCACAATCTCGGCTCACTGCAACCTGTGCCTCCTGAGTTCAAGTGATTCTCCTGCCTCAGCCTCCGGAATAGCTGGATCTGCAGGTGCACACCACCACACCTAATTTTGTATTTTTGTAGAGACAGGGATTCACCATGTTGGCCAGGCTGGTCTTGAACTCCTGACCTCAGGTGATCTGCCCTCCTTGGCCTCCCAAAGTGCTGGGATTACAGGCATGAGCTACCGTGCCTGGCCAGTAGTTCTAGTTTTAATATTTAAGAGATGATCCACACTGTTTTCCATAATGGTGGTACCAATTTACATTCTTAACCAACAGTGTACAAAAATTCCCGTTTTTATTTTCTACATATAGGATCATGTCATCTACACTCTCACTCACACTTACCTCTTGTCTTTTATATAATAACAATTTGAATAGGGGTGAGGTGATATCTCAGTTTGGTTTTCTTTTGCATTTCTCTGCTTATTAGGGATGTCCAGCATTTCCTTATATGTTGGCTACTCATATTTTCTGGAGAAATGTCTATTCAGGTTCTTTGCCAATTTTTAATAAGTTATTGGTTTTTTGTTGTTTAGTTTTATTTTGTTTGCTATTGAATTGTGTGAGTTCCTCATATATTTGAGAAATTAACCCTTTGTCAGAAGCGTGGTTTACAGATACTTTCTCCCAACTCATTTTGCCTTTTCACTTTGTTGATTGCTTCTTTTGTTGTATAGAAGCTTTTTAGTTTGTTGTAGTCCCATCTGTTTATCTTTTGCTTTTGCTGCCTGTACTTTTTGTGTCCTATCCAAAGAATCATTGCTAAGACCAATGTCAAGGAGATTCCTCCCTATGTTGTCTTCTAGGAATTTTATAATATTAGGTCCTATATTTAGGTCTTTAATCCATTGTGAGTTGATTTTTGTATATGGTTTAAGATAAGAGTCCAAATTTATTCTTTTATTTGTGGATATCCAGTTTCCCCGAAACTACTTATTAAAGAGACATTCTTTTCCTCATTGTGTGTTCTTGATATCTTTGTCTAAAATCAATTCACCATAAATTTATGGATTTATTTTTGGACTCTTTATTCTTTTCCATTAGTCTATGTGTCAGTTTTTATGCCAGTACCATACTGTTTCGATTATGATAATTTTGTAATATAATTTGAAATCAGGTAGTGTGATGCCTCCAATTTTGATTTTCTTTCTCAGAACTGCTTTGGCTATTCAGGATCTTTTGTGGTTCCTTAACATCTTAGAATTTTTTTCTATTTCTATGAAAAATGCCACTGGAATTTTGATAGGGACCGAGTTGAATCTGTACATCACTTTGGAATTTTAAATATTTTTAACAAGATTGATTCTTCCAATCCATGAACATCGGTTATCTTTTAATTTATTTGTGTCTTCTTCAATTTCTTTCATCAGTATCTTAGTTATGTAGTGTACAGATCTTTTAGCTTCACTGAATTTATTACTAAGTATTTCATTTTTGATGCTATCATTAATGGGATTTTTAAAAATTTTTTCAGACAGGACACTGATACACAGAAATGCAACTGATTTTTGTATGTTGATTTTTTATCCTGCAACTTTATTGAATTTGTTTATTAGTTCTAACAGTTGTATGTGTGTTGTGTGTATATGTGTGTATGTGTGTAGTCTTTAGGGTTTTTCTACATATAGGATCAAGTCATCTGCAAATATGGATAGTTTTACCTCTTCCTTTCTGATTTTGATGTCTTTCTTTTCTTTGTTTGATTGCTCTTGTTAGTAATTACAGGATTGTGTAGAATAAAAGCAGAGATAGTGGGCCTCCTTGTCTTTGCACCAGATCTTAGAGGAAGAGCTTTTAATTTTCCCCCATTGATTTTGATGTTAGCTGTGGGCTTTTCATAATAGCTTTTAATTTGTTGAGAAAATTTCCTTCTATACCTTATTTGTTGAGAATTGTTATCTTGGAAAGGATGTGGAACTCTCTCAAGTGTTTTTATGCATCTATTTAAATGATCATGTGTTTTTAAATTTTTTATTCTGTTAATGTGGTGTATCATATTAATTGATTCATGTATGTTAAATTAACCTTGCATTCCAGGGATAAAACCCACTGGGTCATGATGTATATTTTTTTTGATGCGTTGTTAAGTTCAGTTGCTAGTATTTTATTGAGGATTTTTGCATGTATGTTCATTACAGATATTGGCCTACAGTTTTCTTTTGTTGTAGTATCTTTGTCTGGCTTTGGTATCAGTTTGGAAGTATTCTCTCTAGTTCTATTTTTGGAATAGTTTAAGAAGAATTCATATCAATTCTTCTTTAAATGGTAGAACTCAGCTGTGAAATTGTCTGGTCTGACCTTTTTTTTGTTGAAAGGTTTTAAATTACTACTTCAATTTTTCATTTGTTATTAATCTGTTCAGGCTTTTTATTTCTTCTTATTCAGTCTTGGTAGATTGTTTCTTTCTAGGAATTTATTTCTTCTAGGTTATCCAGTTTTTGGCATATAGTTGTTCATAATAGTCTCTTATTATCCTTTTTGTTTTTTGATGTGTCTATTGTAATGTCCCCACTTTCATCTCTGATTTTATTTTTTGAATCATTTCTCTTTTTTCCTAGTTAATTCATTTAAGAGCTTGTTGATTTTGTTTAATTTGTTTAAAAAATAACTCTTAATGTTGTTGATTTTTTTGCTATAGTTTTTCTATTCTCTAGTTTATTTATTTCTGCTTTGATCTTTTTCATTTCATTTATTCTGCTAACTTTGGGTTTATTTTGTTCTTTTCCTAGTTCCTTGAGAAGTAATTTCAGATTGTCGAGATTTTTCTTCTTTTTTTTCATAATATTGCCATATATTACCCAAAACTTTTCTCTTACAACTTCTTTTGCTGCTTCCCAAAGGTTTTATTATGTTGTGTTTCCATTTTAATTTGTCTCAAGATATTTTTAAATTTCCCTTTTAATTTCTTCACTGACTCGTTGGTTATCAAAGATCTTCCTTCATTTTACCCTCTCCAGAGAAACAAACCTTTTCAAAAACAAATCTTGTTCAAAGTGGAGACCAATTACTTAACTTTGTGTCAAGAGAAAGGTGATCTGTATATCTGTGAACTTAAGACAATTTTTCACAATCTTTCTTACTTTGATATTCTTTTCTCCTGCTTGTAAAGTATCTAATGGCACCGATTTCTGAGCTTTCTGAGTATTCTATTATCTAAGTCAAGTTGGTTGCTGTTTTCCATACTTCCAGCAGAAGAATCTGCTAAGTCATTTACCACTTGTTCATATGACTTCCAACTTTGAGAATTTTTTTGTGCCCTTATTTTCATTATTTTGGGTGTATACCTTAAAACTTAAACTAAAGAGCTTCTGCACAGCAAAAGAAACTATCATCAGAATGAACAGGCAACCTACAGAATGGGAAAAAATTTTACAATCTATCCATCTGACAAAGTGCTAATATTCAGAATCTACAAATAACTTAAACTGACTTACAAGAAAAAAAAAAACCACCCCATCAAAAGTAGGCGAAGGATATGAACAGACACTTCTCAAAAGAAGACATTTATGCAGCCAACAAACATATGAAAAAAAGCTCATCATCACTGGTCGTTAGAGAAATGCAAATAAAATCCACAATGAGATACCTTCTCATGCCAGTTAGAATGGTGATCATTAAAAAGTCAGGAACCATGTTAATTATATTTTTAATGGAGTTACAAGGGAGAGAAAATAATTGTGTGTGCATGCATCTCTCTCTTTCTTCTGCTCATGGGTGTAACCCATTGTGATTACCCAGAGTTTTTATAATCTTCACATTGGCATCAGAATGGTCTTTTAAAAATGTGACCCAAAAGATTATGTCCCCTAGATGAAAATCTCAAATGACTTCTTTTAACACTTAGAATTAATGCAAATTCCTTGTCATGACACTGCATGGTCTGGTGCCTTTCTACCTTTCTAACTTATTTTCATACCTTATTTAATACTCACTCTATTTTGGCCATGCTGGTCCTCTTTCTCTTCATCAAAGATGTTAAAGTTAATTCCACCTTTGGGACCTTTGTTCCTGCTGTCCACCCTGTCTGAAATGCTCTTTCCTGGATCTTCCAATCACTAGTTCCTTGGTTTCATTTAGGTCTCAGTTCAAATGGAACTTTTACACAGAAGCCTTCCTCACCACTCAAAACATGCCTGGAGTAGAGGCTATTGCTAATTACGTGTTAGTTAGTGTGTAAGTGAAGGAAACTTTTTAAATAATCTCCTCCTTCTTGATATTTTCCTGCCTTATAGAGCAGCATCCAACAGTCTAGAACCTGGAAGAGAGGGCTAGAGGGAGGAGGTGAAGGTGAAGAGTGTAAATTCTGTGCTTTAAGAAGAAGTTACATCCACATGAAGAGGCCCATGCTTTGTGCCTATCCTCCATGTTGGGCTTCTATGCAGCATTGTCCACCTCTGGTGCTTTCCTGTGGGTTATCTCCAGACCAGGAACAAGCTTGCTGTCACAGCTGGAGAGTGGCAGTTACTTAAAACTAAACCTAAAAAAAATAAAAGTTTTGCACCTTCAGCTTTTTCCTTTATTGTATCTCCTTTTTTTTGGTTTAGTAGTAGTCTTTGAATATTTTTACTTATGAAACCTAAAAATAATTGCGGACAATAATATGTCCCCCAAAAGGTTTTGAATTGACACCTACAATGTGTATCTTAAGTTTAAATAGTTGCCAAGGAAGAAATTTTCTGTGAATTATAAATAGTAACATTTTAAAATAAAACTGCCATATTGTGCTTAAATGTATCTATAAGCAATTAGAAACTCACCATCATATATTAAAAATATGCAAGAGTAATTTATTTTTGGTTAACAGGATATTTCACATTCTTAGGTAAATATTGTTAGGCATAGGTCAAAGTATTGATTTCTAACATTAAGCTTTGCCCTTGTCGGAAATGTTTACAGGACAGGCAAAGCAAGGCAGTCCTGTGGAGCCCTGTGATTTAGTGTGGCTTTCCAGACTCCAGTATTTCATCCAGGCCCATTAGTGCCTGGTAAGTTTTCATATCTCTAGACAAGACACCATGGTACAATTCAAGATGAATAAAGGGCATGTCTTTCTTTTAAAGTCAAAGAAGGTGATTGAAAGAGAACATGGAAACAGAGGGCCTCTGCAGGAGCCTGTTCAGGCACATCAGTTTTAGGAAAGAATACATTTGGAAGTTGAATGTCAGGACATTGATTTCTTGAAAACTATGCCTGTCCAAACGTTTCTTGAAAAGACTTCATCCCCAGGGGCATGTGCACCCACCTTTGAAGGCCACATATTTCCCTGAAAGTGCTCTCTCCTGGGATTCTTCCCACCTCTGGCTATGTTTTTCATCCTCATTCTGGCATTATGGTCATATGCCTTGTTCCTAAAAGCTGGCATGCTTCACAGGCTCTGTTCATGGTAGACATCTCTTCTTAGTACATAATTTCCTTTGATAAACTCATCCATACCCTATATTTGCTGATAAATCTCAAGTCTATATCTTCAGATCAGACCTCTCTTCTGAGCTCTGGATCCATGTAGCCAAATTATTTAAGATAAATTTCCACTCTGCTATTCCACATGCCACTGCCATTCTGTCCACTATCACTCTCTTCTCCTTCCCTCATGTTTAATCCTCCACCAATATCAAACCACTTATAGTTTCCTTAGGGAATCATGCTTTTCCGCATCACTGTCTTTTTGTGCATGCTTTCCTGGAACATCCACACACATTAGTCAGCCTGTCCAACTCATCCCTCAAGTACTAGCCTAACCATGACCTAACTGATGATGCTTACCCTATTGTCCCAGGCAGACTCTTCCTCTTATGTCCCCACTGTACTCTGTCCTGTATACACAATTAAGACAGTTGTCTTTTTGTTTTGTAGTTCCTTATTTGCTTGTCCTAATTTGAATTCATTCATTTGGCACAAATATATTGAATTTCTAATATGTAATTGGTAATCTGTTAGGTCATGAGAGAAGAAAGACAAAGAGAGCACTCACTTCAAGAAGCGTATGTCTCTTGAATACCCCCCTTATCCATTCACTTCTTCTCTCACTTGATTCTGCATTCCTCCCAGCAACTGGACAGGAGTCACTGTATTAAAAGAGGCTTAGTATACAGAGAAGGTCTGCAAGTAAATGAATAGATCTAACCTAGGTGCTTTGGACGTTGTGAAGATGCTTTGAGACTTCAACGGTAGGCATTGGGTGTGCATATGCTGATACTGGGTACCCTCAAAGGATTTATGGCCTCACTCAGAGTAGTGAGAAGGGTGCCTCATATATTTGTGTATGTATCTGATTATAAATTATATGCTCTATATTGTCCCCTAACTTCTGAGAATGAAGAATATTTCTTAGGAACTTAGTTATTTTTAAGTGATGTTAGAATTCTGTTTTTCTCCCTGACAATTTGTGTTCTTTAGTTGTTATAGTCTGCTTCCTCCCTACCACCTAACAGCTTCTGTCTCTGTCTCTATCTCTCTGTCTGTCTCTGTCTCTCATGCCCCCACCCTCCATTCACTTCTTCTCTCACTTGGTTCTTCATTCCTCCCAGTCACTGGACAAAAGTCACTGTATTAAAAGAAAGGAAGGAAGACACTTTCAAGGCATTAATTTTTCAGAACCATGGACAGAGGGGTTCCTCAACTGTTTTGCTCATGGTGTTCTTACTTGCTAGATTTGAGCCCAATCTGGAGATGAGGAGAAGAGTGGGCTAAAATCATGAAAGAAGAGCAGGCAAAGGTAGGATGCTGACAACTTCTGGTGAGGCAGAACCTGCACGTGGTGCTGTCGGTGTCAATTCCAGGTCTGGTTATCTAAATGTTGATGGGTGTCTTCATTCTCTTGACTTTGTGCTGAGGCCAGGCCTTCAGCAATGAAATTTTTCAGAGCAGGGAGGAAGAGCACAGCATACTGACTTCCTAATTAAGATTTCCTAGGGCTAGGTTGAATTGGCTATTGTTTCCTCTGTAAACACTAATGGACAAAGAGTCAAGAGTGGCTGATGGCACACTGGTTGGAAAATAAGGGGCATTTGCAGATGGATTAGGAAAGAACATGTCACACCCAGTTAATCAAGATTAGGGAATAACCAGAGTTTATGTGCAAAAGAATTTTAAATCCCATGTAAACTGGCTTCATAGGCTTGCTAATGGAATTTGTGCAGTGCCTGATACTGAGGGGACAGAGAAGAGATGGAGACATGTCAAGTTAATCTTTTCAAGAGTTTTTCTTTTCCTTCTCTAACTCTCTGAACACTTAATTGATTTTTCAACCAGCCTAATTTGGGTAACACAATAAATACTTATGGGAGAATGTGTCTGGGGTTAAAAGCCCATATTTAGGTGTCAGATATACACATCACCTAAATTTAAGTAATTCATCTACTTTTTGATTTACATGTAACCTTGAGCAAGTTATTAAATTTCCATAAAATCCCAGCCCTATATAGTCCTTGTGAATGGCAGTCCTGGAGTTGTGCAATGCATGGATCTCCTGGCTGTATATGGCTGCTGGAAACCTCATGATCTCATCTGAAAATAGGGATAACATCTTCCTCATGGCAACGATGGGAGAGTTAGGTAGGTTAATGCACATAGATTGCTTAGTTGGGTAACCGACATGGAGTAGTTGTGTAATAACTATTGGTTATTAATACAGTTATGTGCCAGCGATTTTATAGGATTATTAAATTTAATCCCCACAGTCATTCCTATAAGGAACACCTTGCCCAGGGTCCTACAGCTAGTAACTGAAACATCTTGCCTGAATTTAATTTAGGCAGTCAAACTCCAGAGCCTGTGCTCTTAACCCGCATATCATGAATAACATGTCCATTTTCCTTCTTTCCTTCCTCTCTCCCTTTTTTCCTCCTGCCTCCTTCTCACTGCCTCTCCCTCTCTCCATCCCTTCATCTTCACCATCATCATCATCACAATCATTATCATTACTCTCTATTATTTACCTGTCTACGTATCTCTATCAACCATCTATCTTTCTATTTACACATATTTATGTACATATAGTTAGCCCAATAATACAGAAAACAAAACTGAAGCTTAGAGAACTCAACAGATCCCAGATAACAGAGCCAGTTTTCTAGTCTAGAGCTGTTTGACTCCAAAACCTGTGCTGGAATGATTTTTTCACTACATCAAGATTATGACTAAATGTAGTTGTAATTCTTTCTCAGCGCAGTTATTTTCAATTGCACTGGTATGAAAGAAAAATATAAAAATGTCAGCTCTCTCCCTCACCCATTTGTGCTTCTAGCAAACAAGAAGGTACATTTTAATAAGAGGCGTCAGAGCTGATATTTTGGGGATAGATGGTACATACTTTCAGGAATTAGGATGTCACCCTTTATCACTCACGCACTGTTGAAGGCTGTGATGGCTTCGTGTCTGGCTGTTCTGTCCTTTTTCCAAGCGCCACCGCAAATACTACTACTGTTTTAAAAGCAATGAGCTTGCTTAGAGAAAACCAGCACCCATAAAAGTGTGACACGCCCTGCACGTGTTTATAGAAAGACACTTTATGGAGCCAGCACAATTATCTGCAGTAACAGAGGAGAGTTGGCAGCATACAAATCTAAAACAGCAGGCAACCCTCGAATCATCACTTTTTGGCTTTGCAATGCATAGAATTCATTGGGATAATTTTGCATTTGATTAACTTTCCTAATTAGGCTTCCCATAAACCAGCATGACCTCTTCAGCGTCTCTCCCAAAATACATAAATCCCTTGGCAGTAGTTTCCAATTATTTGGGAGCTGACTCCTGGTTAGTGCCCTTTCCCATCTTTGTGTCAATTGCTCAGACTTATTGCCTCTCTCCATAATGTCCTGTGCTTCAGCCTACCCTGCTCACTCTCAGTGGATGACCTCACTCCAACCCCACTAAGAAAACGAAGACATGCCAGCATAATTTTGTTCAATTTCTCTCACATCCATCTCCAAAGAAGATTTCTAAGTAAGCACGTGTCACAGCTTTCCTGGAAACTCTCATTTTTAATTATTCTTTCCTATTTTCCCAGTAAACCTTAGAAATCCTTCGAAATGCTAATATTTTTGAACTGAATACAAATGTCCCTAGATTGCCTATCTTGGACCCCAAATGACACAAACTGCTTTGTGTTCAGATATTTAGTGGAAAAATGTGGGCACTTGCCCAAGTCTACTGCTTTCCGTACCACTTCTGAGGAAGAGGTAGTCCCCGCTCCTTTCCAAAATAAACCATCCTCTGTGTCCTGGTTCCGATTTCCTTTCAGGAGACAATGATATTTCTTGTTTTCTTCTATTTTCAAGCTCTTCATTTCTAGTGGCTCCTTTGGTTAGCCTCCAAAAGTACTTTGGTGATCGCCTTACGAAAATAAAAAGAAAGCAAAAACTCCTTACAAAGATTAAAAGAAAGCAAAAATTTTTCTGGAACTCAGCATTTTCCTCAAGCTGCTCCTTGAGGAAGGTGATTTTTTTCTTCTCTTTGATTGCTATGATTTGTCTTTATCTCTCACTCATTACCCAACCTGCAGTGGTCTTTCTTTTGTTTTATCTTTTCACTGAACGTGTACTTTGCAAGGAGACCAATCACGTACATGTAAACATTTTTCACATGATATTGTCTTTGATGTCGGTTCTCTCCCACTAGACTTTCTGCTCTGTGAGGCCAGGGAGCCTTATTAATTCTGTGTATCAGAATTCCACACAGGTTGTAGCATATTGTAACCATATCAATCTGTTCTCATGCTGCTAATAAAGACATGCCCAAGACTGGATAATTTATAAAGGAAAGAAGTTTAACTGCCTCACAGTTCACCATGGCTGTGGAAGCCTCAGGAAACTTACAATCATGGCATAAGGGGAAGCAAACATGTCCTTCTGGCAGTGCCAAGCAGAAGAGGGAAAAGCCCCTTGTAAAACCATCAGATCTCGTGAGAACTCACTATCACGAGAACAGCATGAGAGTACCCCGCGCCCATGATTAATTATCTCCCACTGGGTCCCTCCCATAACACGTGGGGCTTATGGGAACTACAATTCAAGATGAGATTTGGATGGGGACACAAAGCCTAACCATGTCCATAATTTAGCTAACATTCATAGAATGAAGGAGCTCTGCAAAATTCAATGCATCCTTTGCATTGTCACTCTGATGGTCTTCTCAGATGCATTTGCTGCTGCTGACTCTCCATCCTTCTTGAAATTCTCATAATCTGGATTCTAGGCTATAGCTCTTTTTCTCTATTCTTATCTCAACCTGCTCCTAGAAGTAATGAGTAGGGTCTTTTTTATCCTGTACCCCTAGTGTCTTATACAGGATTGTAATGAATTGAATGGGTGAATCACACTGGATATATAAAAATTTCCTGTATTCTGCTTTCATTCCAAGTCAGGTATTACCTAAATAGATTTTTAATTCTGAGAAATGTCTGGTCTCTTTAGTATGTGATAGTTTGAACTCCACCTTATTTATACCCATGGATCATAAAACACTTCCTGCTAATAAGTATGGAATGCTCTCTTTGTATTTAACCTCACATTTTTTTGAAATAAGTAGCCTAAAGAAGTTTTAAATCGAATTTCAACTAAGATATCTGATTGAAGGTCAAGTGTGCCTTATCTCTTTTGCAAGAAGAAGCAATAAATGTGCCCAAAGCTACCTGCAAGATGAGTGGTTAATGTGAAATTAAAAGCTAGACTTACTGCCCTCAAGACTATGTGATAGGCTGGCTGATTGTAAAAATCGCTTTAATTCTTTATACCTTCCTCTATCCTTGCCGTTTGCAATGTGATTTCATTCAGCAGGCTTCTCACCCCTGCCCTTGAACCTTGGCTGGCTTTATGACCTGCTTTGGCCTGTTGAATGGGTAGAAGTGACTGCGTGCCAATTTCCAGTTTCAGCTTAGGGCTGAAGCAGTCTGGCAGGCTTCCATTTGTTTTCTTAGAACCCCATCATCTCTAAGTGAGCAAAATCAGAGTAATGCATTAAAGGAAAAATCATGTGAGGTGAAGGTGAATCACTTCAAATCATACCATCCTAGACCAGCCAACACTCAGCCACTGGCCAGCTGACTGCAGATACATGAGCCAGCCTAGCCAAGATCAGCCCAGTTCAGTCCAGCCCAGCCCAGCCCAGCCCAGGAACACCACTCTGTAAACCCACAAATTTATGAGCTAAATAAATGCTGAGCATTTTAGGACATTGTATTTTAGGATGATTAGCATATCTAGACAATAGAAAAGGCTGAATCAAAATTGTCTGATTGGTGTGTCTGACCATCTTAATGATGAAATCATAACAACTGTCTGATTGAGCCAGCTGTTGTCTTGACTGTTTTTTTAACAGCTTTATTGAAATATAATTCACATGCCATACAATTCATCTATTTTAAGCGTATAATTCAATAGTTTTTAGCATATTCACAGTTGTGCAACCATCATCACAATCAATTTTAGGCCATTTTATAGCCCTCCCCCACAAAACCCCATACCCATTAGCAATCACTCCCCACTTCTCATAACCTTCTCCCTCAGCCCTAGGCAAACACTAATCTATTTTCTTCTCTATAGATTTGCCTACATGGAAATAGCATATAAATGGAATCATGCAATATGTCATCTTTTGTGATTGGCTTCTTATACTTAGCTATGTTCATCCATGTTGTGGCATCTATCAGTACTCACTTATTTTCATTACTGAATACTATTTCATAATGTGGATATAGCATGTTTTATTTTTTCACTATTCACTTGAATATTTGTGTTGCTTTCACTTTTTGGCTATTATGATTAATGCTGCCGTGATCATTTGTGTACAAGTTTTTTTGTGAACATACATTTTCATTTCTCTCGTATATGTACCTAGGAGTGGAATTGTTCAGTCATATTGTAACTCCATGTTTAATCTTTTGAAGAACAGTCACATTATATTCCAGAGTGGCTGTACCATAGTTCATTCCAACCAGCAGTATATGAAGGTTCTAATTTATTCACATCCTCACCAATACTTGTTATTATTTGTATTCTTGATTATAGCCATCCTAATGGCTATCTTGTTATGTTTTAATTTGCAATTCCTTGGTTGCTAATGACGTTGAGATCTTTTCATGGATTTATTGTCACCATTTGTATATTTTCTTTGGAGACATGTTTATTCAGGTCCTTTGCCAATTTTTAACTGGGTTTTTTCTCTTTTCATTGTTGAATTATATCTTGATTGCTAGTTGCTGTGTCTAACGCTAACATTTCAGTTGAAATTCAGTTCCCCAATATTTTTTACTAAACTTTGCTTTAGGTCAGTGGTTCCCATCATGACTGACCGTCAGATATAAAACCGTTTTGAAAACATAACATCTTGAGTGGGGTGTGGTGGTTCATGCCTGTAATCCCAGCACTTTGGGTTGCCAAGGCAGGTGGATCACTTGAGGTCAGGAGTTCGAGACCAGCCTGGCCAACACGGTGATACTCCGTTTCTACTAAAAATACAAAAATTAGCCATGTGTGGTGGCACATACCTGTAATTCCAGCTACTCGGCTGAGGTACGAGAATCGCTTGAACCTGGGAGGCAGAGGTTGCAGTGAGCCAAGATTGCACCACTGCATTCCAGCCTGTGTGATGGAGTGAGACTCTTTCTCAAAACAAAAACACAAACAAAACATAACATCTTGGGTCCCATCTTTGGAAAGTCCAATTCAGTAATCCAGTAGGGAAGGGGAAAATTCAGGAATTTGTGTTTAAATTAAAGTACCAAGGTGATACTACCAATCAGCTAAGTTTGGAATCACTGTCTTGGCCCATATATTCCTAGGTGAAGTAATGTTTAGAATGAGGGGACTTTCTTGTGTATTGCAGGCCAATATCAGGAAGAAAATAAAGGCCTCCAACTTGTGTACCTTGATATATTACTTTCACTATGTTTTGTAGGCTTAAGAAATGCTGCGTTTGGATAGAAGCAATGGGCAAAGGATGCACGGATTCAGCTGTAATACTTTATGAACAGCTATTGAGAAGTACAGACTCACTTTCTGTAAATTGTAACTCACAGGCCCCAGAGGAATAAACTAACAAGAACTCAAAGAAAAAAACAACTATTTACTATACCCTGCTATGCTCAGTAGCAGTTGTCCACATAGACCCCTGCCTGGGAGATGGGGAGGGGAGTGGGAGAAGGAGGCATTGAGCAGATTGTGGAGGGCAGTCGTGCAGAGATGGGAGCAGTGGAATGGTCTTGAGCATATAAAATCAGGGTGTAGGTACCAATTAAACATCATCAGCTTCCATAGTCCAGATTCAAATTCTGAGAGAAAAGTGCTATCACAGACCCTTTTACAAAAGGTCCGAGAAGAACTCCAGCTTTTGGGTTGGGCACTACTGCTAGCAGTAATAAATGTACTTTTAGTCTTTACTCTGTACGAATTCTTTACAAAGAGATTTGTGGCAGAGTTAATTATGTAACCAATCCATTTAAAAGCAGGATATGAATTTGTAAGCCATCCTCGCACCTGCTTAAATAAGGACAGAAAAAAGCCTAGAAGGAAGTAAACCAAAAGATTAACATTCTGAACATTACCATTTTTCCAAAGTCAGAATTAAGTGATTTTTAAAAAAATTAGTAAATTTCTTTTTCAAGGTTGGGAACATTTAGATTTAAGCGCATGGAATCAAGAGCCAGGCTGCCTGGATTTAAATCCTAGCTCTGCTACTTATTAGCTTTGTGATCTTGGAAAGATTAATATCCACCTCTGTGTCTCAGTTTCATCTTCTCTAAGATAAGAATAATAGTAAGATATTTTTCACAGAGCTGATGTGAAGATTAAATGAGCTGATCTATTTAAAGTGCTTGCTATGGGTATCTGGCATTTGGTAAACACTATATATGTTTTAGACACATATATAGTCAACACTATGTATGTGTTTACTAAATAAATGTATAGTGTTTACTAAATAATATCATCATCATCACCACGGTTTTAATGCCATTGATTTTTTGACTGGCTCATTCATTCATTTATTCATTCAATTCAATTCATTCATTCATTCATTCATTCAGCATTTGCCATGTGCCAAGCCCTGCACAAGGCATTAACGGTACAGAGATAGGAAAGTGGGGGTCTTGTTCTCAAGCTCATGAAGTTCCAATAGAAAACCACTCTCCTGGCCAGGTGTGGTGATTCACGCCTGTAATCCCAGCACTTTGGGAGGCTGAGGTGGATGGATCACGAGGTCAAGAGATTGAGACCATCATGGCCAACATGATGAAACACTGTCTCTACTAAAAATACAAAAGTTAGCTGAGTGTGGTGGCACGCGCCTGTAGTCCCAGCTACTCAGGAGGCTGAGGGAGGAGAATCGCTTGAATCCCGGGAGGCAGAGGTTGCAGTGAGGAGAGATTGCGCCACTGCACTCCAGCCTGGTGACAGAGCAAGACTCCGTCTCAAAAAAAAAGAAGAAAGAAAACTACTCTCCTTTTCTCTCTTTCACTTTGGGTGGGGTGTTCACAGCCTCGGGCTGTATCTAGTCTAGAGGACTGCAGAGCTGGTGCCATGCCCATTTTCTGAATTCTACTTTATTCTTTCTGTTCTTCACTGTTCACTCACAACAGTACTTTATGCACATTGTGCACTTAATAAGATGCGAGGCACCACGCTGAGTGCTTTCTAGACATCAGGGTATTTGAGACTTATGTTTGCCCTTCAGGGAGAATATTCTGATTTCCATTATTCAGATGAGAAAAATAAGCCTCTGAAAGGCCAACTCATTTGCCCAAATTCATAGAACTACTAACTGAGAACCCAAAGCAGAAACTATTAATGGTGACACGATTTTCTCTCTGAAGTTTCAGTTCATGTCTATTGGAATAGGCATTTTCATTAACCTCTTCAGCAGTAGCTCCTGGTAGATTTGCTATTGGGTTTCACATCACATGGAACCAGGTTTGTGAAGAAGGTGTGAAGGTTGAGGAGATATCTGAGTCAGAAGAAAGCATTCATCCGAATGACTCATAGTTTGCAGTCACAGAAATGTAGTCAAAATTCCTCGCCAACAGAATTAGATCCTGTGTCTTTAAAACCCTTCTCATCTTCCCAAATTCCAAAGTAATGAACATTCAGATGAAACTCCTTAAGATATGAGGCAGATAATTCCTTTTTGTAGGAAGTATGTACTGGTGATTTTTGAAGAAAGGCGGCCTCCCAAACCCATCTCAGATGTATTTTGCCCCACACTTGGAGATAAATATTATTTCTTATGTTGAAGTTTAACCCTAATCAAGCTAGTGTTTCCAGCCAACCCACCCTCACTGTGCTTTGAAAGACTGTTGTGTGCCTCTCTAGCTTCCAGGACACAAAGGGCTAATAAGCCATAGCCTGAGTGAGTTTTTATAGAAAATATTCTTTCTTTTTCAGTCTGTTAAAGTTTGGAGAAGGTGATGAGGAAGATCTATTTGCTGCTTTATCTCAGTGTATTCAGTGCAAATGTTCAGCACCTGAAGAGACATTTAATACCTGACACCATGTTGGTGCTATATTTTGGCTGCCATTATTATCATGGAAATTGCTTGGCAACTGGAAGGAAACAAAAAAGGACTTTGATTCACATGGCTGATTCCAGATTCTTAGTCTTTGGACATTTTTATACATTAATTATTGAGTTCGTTTGGCATTGTGTTTCTGCAGTCATTTAAGTTCTGATGAGCAAAACCTCTAGAGTGAAGTTCAAGTTTGTGCGCACAATTCTCTGCACTTCTCAGCCTGGTCTGAACCCCTGGGAAAACTGTGCCATAGTAGGAATTGCCTTTGATTGGCTCCTTTCCCTATAATTGATCAATTCACAGCAAGATTCATTTTTGTGTCTGTTTATCATTCTTGTGGATTTGGAAAGTAATCAGGCATTAGCTGGCAAAAAGTTAAGGTTTATAGTAGGACTTGTTTAAAACAGATGTTTATAGTGGACTTTCAGGTGACATGACAGGTGAGGAAGAATGATTTGTGAAAAAGAAAATATGTTGAAGATTGGGCTCTGCCACTCTGCCATCTATGGTGATTGAAAGTTTTTCTAATGAATCAAATTTGCCATGCAAATATGTTTGTAAAGTATGCAGTGATCATTATTTCAGGTTATGGTAGGATAAAGTTCCAAGCTTTCTGGAGTCCAGCTGTGGGTAGAGTGAAATACTAAGGGACAGTGCCTGCTAGGTTTGGTGTACCTACCAAACCAACCTCAGGTTTCCAGGTGGAATGTAATGCTGGGAAAATGTAGGCATTCTTTTTATCTAATTTTAGTAATATAACTGAAGACAAAGTCTTTCTAGCTATAGGAGCAGAAGAGCAGGTTGAAGAGAGAGAATTGAACTGAAGCCTAACCCAGTAGCTTTCCTGTTTTATAACCTTTAATAGAGACACATTTCTTTATTCTTGCAAATATCTTCTGAAAAATAATAGATTCATGGAGTAAGGCTACGTTACTGGCTTAAGGTTCTACAGCTAGTGATTTCCAGGGCAAGTTCAAATCTGGGCAATCTAGCAACTGAAATAAGGTATTGCATTTAAAGAGAAAGTTATCCTAATTAGAAGATACACCTAGCTAAATGTTTGACATATTTATTAATGTAAATAAATTTAATAAAACACACTTTCTGGTGTTCCAGATACCATAAAGACATCTAATTCTACATAGGAAATGTTAGGGCTGGGTAGAAATTCCCAGAACATCTAACTAAATTACTTCATTTCATAGATTAAAAACAAACAAACAAAACAAACAAACAAACACCATCAGAGAGGCAGAGAAGAGAAGCAATCCACCCAAGGCCCTCCCAGTTAATAGGCTGCAGAGGTGGAGGTTTTTCATCTTCCATTGCAGTGGACCATCCTTTTCTCAAAATGCAACCCACAGGGCTTTTCAGATGCTGACATATGAAATAATGGAAGCATAATTTTGAAACGCAAAGTATTTTAGATTATGTGTACTACAAATATCCTTGGTTGTAAAATTGGGGTCACTTACTTGGGAGAATATTGAGGGGTTGAAAAATGCCTCTTCATGGGATATGAAAAATACTTTGAAGCAACGGAGATGCTTCACATCTAAACCTACCATTCATCCATCCATTCATTCATCTATACATTCACATCCTAAATTCTTTTCTTTCCGTCTCCAACATCCTATCAATTAATATGTTTGATATTGTAGTTCCCACCTCTTTAATATATTTTGCATCTACCGTCTCATCTCAATCACCACTGCCCCCACCTACAGCTCCCAAATTTACCCCAAGTCAGGGCAGCATCTCAGTTCCCCTGACCATACACTGCATTCTAACTAATTGCCCTGACTCCAGTTTGACTATACTGCAATAGTCAAACCTGCAGAAGAGTCAACCTGCTCTTCTGCAATGTCATTCCCTAGATTAAAATCCTTCTAGGCTTCACCATAGTTGCAAGATAATGGTAATTTCCTATTTTTAGCATAGTAGGCTCTCTATGACCTCTTCCACCAACTTTATTTCCTTTCACTGTCCCTACCTCCCATCCCTACCACCACCTGTTAATTCAGAACATATCTGATACACATGTGCTGTCAATAAATGTTTGCTGAATTGGTGAATGGACAGCTACAACAACCCACTTGCCCTTCCCTGAATGTGCCATTTGCTCAAGGCTTTAATGACAACAATTGAAGTAATAGTAAAAGCGGCTACTAATATTGGGTGCTTATGTTAGACCAGGAACTATGTAGATAATCTCATTTGATATTCTCAATACCCATAAAGTAGTTTCTACTGTTTCCCTGTTTTTACAGATGAGAGAACTGAGATAACCAGGTAACTAGATAACTCTCCAGCTGGGAAATGTGAAGCTGGATTTGTGTCTCAGCCTTTCTGACCTCAGAGCCACCAGTATTCATCATCATTATGCTTACCACTTTACTACTTCTATCCCTTAGAATATTCTTTCCTCAGTGCTTGAAATCCCAATCTCCCTTTTTATCTGATTCAACAAACTCTTGTTTTGTCTTTTATTATTTTATGTTATTTTTAAATTTTTTGTAGAGACAGGGTCACCCAATGTTACCCAGACTGGTCTTGAAAACCTGGGCTCAAGAGATTTTCCTGCCTCAGCTTCCCAAAGTTTTGGGATTATAGGCATGAGCCACGGTGCCCAGCATTTTTTTTTTTTTTTTTCAGATGGAGTCTCACTCTGTCACCAGTCTGGAGTGCAGTGGCGTGATCTCGGCTCACTGCAACCTCCACCTCTTGGGTTCAAGCGATTCTCCTGCCTCAGCCTCCTGAGTAGCTGGGACTACAGGTGTGTGCCACCATGCCCAGCTAATTTTTGAATTTTAATACAGGCAGGGTTTCACCATGTTAGCCAGCATGGTCTGTATCTCTTGACCTCATGATCCACCCACCTCTGCCTCCCAAAGTGCTGGGATTACAGGCGTGAACCACCATGCCTGGCCAGTGCCCAGCTTTTTACTTGTCTTTTAAACCCTAGGTCAAATATTACCTCCTGTGATCCTTGTATGTCTTCCCTCTTTTTCTGTTTGTTCTAGGTTCCCCTCTTCTGTTTTTCAAGCACCAGCTATCCACAGTCTGTAAACCCCCATAAAATTGCCCAGTATGATTCAGTCTCCTACTTTTACAGATGAGGAGACTGAGGCTCAGAGCAGGGAAGAGACCAGCCCATGAACAAGTTCCAAGTGAGACGCAAACTCGAACTAAAATCCAGGTTTCCCAAAGCCCAGTTGTGTTAGGCCATTCTTGCATTGCTATAAAGAAATACCTGAGACCAGTTAATTTTAAAAGAAAAGAGGTTTAATTGGCTCACGGTTCTGTGGCTGTACAGGAAGCAAAACACAGGCATCTCCTTCTGAGGACTACTCAGGAAGCTTCCAGTCATGATGGAAGGTGAAGGGAGAGCAAGCATCTCACGTGGCAGGAGCAGGAGCGAGACAGAGATGTGGGAGGTGCCACACACTTTAAAATGATTAGATCTTGCAAGAACTCACTCATTATTTTAAGGCAGTACCAGAAGGATAGTCCTAAACCATCCATGAGAAATCTACCTCCATAATTCAGTCACCTCCGCCAGGCCCCACCTCTAACACTGGGGATTACAATTCAACATGAGATTGGATGGGGACACAGATCCAAACCATGTTACTAGTCCATTTCACCACTACACAGGCCTTTTCCATATTCTTGCTGATTTTCATAATAGTTGGTAAAATTCTCTCATAGAGTAGCTGTGTAACCTTGGGCAAGATGCTTGATCTCTCTGAGACTCACTTTCCTCATTGAAATTGCTCCTCATGATATTGTTTATACAAAAGTTTGTTGTGATAATTAATTGAGAGAAACTGCATAAGGTGTTTAGTGCAGTGGTCTGCTGCACTGTACAACTCCAGGGGCACCATTCCCATTGGATTCCTACATGATTGTCCTGCTCAATAAATAGTACTTCAATCATTGTTTTTTTATTTTCTAAGAGATGCTTCTCTTATGTACCTCCTTGCCTAGGTTTTCCCCCACTGTGGCTTCTTGTTCCCTATGTGAAGGCTGGATGCCTTGTGAGGTAGGAGGGCTAGCTGACTCTGCTCTCCTGGTTTCTGACCAGCAGTCTGGTGAAAACACCAGTCAAACCAGTGTTTTTACCATTGGGCTACTCAGCTAAACTGATCTGGACTTCCTAACCTCTGAGTATTCCCTATACAGCTACTGGCTGTAAAAGCGACTGGAAATCTAGCAACCCTGAACTAATGAAAGAAATACAGTGTCAGATGGCTTTCAAATTTAAAGGGCAAATGCTACTTTGAAGAAAGGTCTCTTGATGAGGTTGTTCTTTCATTTAAAACAGAATGTGGATGCAATCACCTGGAACATCAGTAGAGAAGTCCTGGGTATGAGGATGATAGTCCTTAGATTTGAGGGAGTATTAAGTCCTTTAGGAGCAGGCAATATTATGAGGCTGTATCCAAAGTGAGTTTTGGAATTGAATTTGGAGGGCTGTGATGATGAGCTGTTAAAACTGGAAAGACTCGAGATAGATTCAATCTGGATTTCCTAGTTTGTGCTTGTGTCATGTTTCACAAATTACTTGGTACTTCTAAGGCTCAGGATCCTCATTTATAAAATGAGAATATTCACAATACCTAAGTTGGAGGATTATTCATTTGTTATTAGGTAAATATTTATCAAGCACCTATGATATGCCCGTCCTAGATGTTGGGACAACATCATTGTGAAGAATCAAATGAGCTAATATAAGGCAAACACTTTGCCCAGTGCTTGCATTCAATAAAGTGTGCAATAAATGGCAGCTATTTGTATCACATTTTCTTATTCACTAAACTGAACCACGATGTATTTTGAAGGCTGTCCCCTTCCCATGCATGATATGCAGGATCCTTGTAATTTCAATAATTGCCTGATCCATAGAACTAGAATACGGGGGAAGGGAAGAAATCCAAGCACCAAAATGCTGAGCTAAAGGTCACAAGATATCAAAAGCTTTCAGGGGATGATGGAAGGCTGTCCCCTGAGACACGGCTTCCTAAATTAGGGACGAAGGTCTCAGTGGCAGGCTGATTTCTTTCATCTCTTAATATTGTGTTTTCCAGCTCCTTTTAATGGGCTGTGTTGAGGAAGGGCATAAAATAGGACAAGAATCAGACAGTATGCAGGAAGGGTTTTTTCTCATTAAAAAAAAAAAAAAATCAACCTTGCTCAAGAAGTCAATTTTCTAAAATATAGGTGGTAAATTCTACAATGTATCTATATCTATGATAACCCTGATGAAGACATGTTTCTCCAGGTCCCTAAGGGCTGGGCTCGTATGAAGAAAATCCTAGTGTCAGACATAGAGAACACTAAAGACACCAAATGCCCATCTAGAAACCGCATTGCAGGTCAGTGGGGAGGAGACAGGAGAATCATTTCAGGGATGTTCCACAGTCCAGACACTGTGCTAGAGATTAGGGATAAGAGGGTGATGAGAGATAGGTAAGGTCTCTGCCTTCATGGAACCCATAGTGAGGTGCAAGACACAAGACAGAGGTAAGCACACTAACTAGTTACAAATTGTGTCTGCAGGGATCAAGAGGAAACCACCACTTTAGATGGGGGAGTGGGGCTCAGAGAGACCTCTCTGACCAGGGGCTTTTTAAACTGAGACCTGAGAACCAAAAAGAAGGAACATGAAAAACAGAGAAAGAAGTTACTAAGACAAAAAGATAGCATGTGAATAAACCTCTAGGTAAGGAAGGACTTTGAAGCCTGGTGTTTTCTAGGAACTGAGAGGAAGCCACAGTGAATGGAGTTTGGGGAGCAAGGAGAAGGTGGTAAGAACTCATATCAATGGATAAGGCAGGCTGTGGGAGGGAGTCAGTCCTAGTCCAAGTCAAAGGAACATCTTTGGAGCATTGGAGGACTAAAAACATTTTTAAAAATTTTGGCGGGTGGATCACAAGGTCAGGAATTCGAGACCAGCCTGGCCAACTGTCTCTACTAAAGATACAAAAAATTAGCTGGGCATGGTGGCACGTGCCTGTAGTCCCAGCTACATGGGAGGCTGAGGCAGGAGAATCACTTGAACCTGGTCGGTGGAGGTTGCAGTGAGTTGAGATTGAGCCATTGTACTCTAGCCTGGGTGACAGGGCGAGATTCCATCTCAAAAAAAAATTTTCTTTTGAAATAGTTTTATATTTACAGATGAGTTGCAAAGATACTACAGCGATTTCTCCGATACTCTTTCCCCAGTTTCCACTAATGTTCATATCTTACTTAACCATGGCACATTGATCAGAACCTACAAATTAACACTGGCACAAGACTCGTAACTCCAGATCACTGGAGGATTCTAAGCAGGGAGTTGACTTACTTTGGTTTATGTTTTAAGGAGATAGCTTAGGCTACTGTGTGAGAATGATCAGAGTAGGCTAAGACTGGCAATGGAGGACCAGTTAGAAAGAAGGCCTGGGCAGAGGAATAAGTGAAAGATGTGGGGTGTGGCACTGGCAGCGAGGATGGGAGAAATGAATGGGTATGGGACCCAGGGTTGGATGGGAAACAAGGAAAGAGTGAGGGAAAAGAAAATGATGCCCCCTAAACATGGAACTGGCAGTAGAACAAATGCTAGTGATGTTAGCTGAGACGAGGAAGACTGGTAAGGGGAGCCAAGGGTGGGAGAGGTGTAGGGAGAAAATAAAAGGTTCAGTTTCAAACATGCAAGTCAATGTGTGATGCCTTGAATTTTTTAGATAACATTCTATGTAAATAAAATTGATCATTATTACTACTGGAAGAGAGCCTCAATTAGGGGCCTGTTCAGATTTAATACTTCTTTCCAACTCATATCCTTTTAACTAGAAGGAAGTAGTAGTATTAAACATTATTGAAAAGTCAAATGCTAGATTGGATTCTTGTTAATTGGATTCTATTAATTGGGTTCAATCAATAGGATGGCTTTTCGCAATGGAAAATGTGCTGTAGTACAGCAAATATTTGAAGAGATGAACTCTCTGGATTGCACCCTGAAAAGGGAAATCAAGCAATGACACACAAATCACAGCCCGGGAAGCACCCAGCCAGACGTTGTACAGGGCTCTGCTTCTTATTGGCTAGAGATCTTTGGGCTCAATTTCCTTACCTGCAAAGTGGAGACAAGAACACATCTTTCAGAGTGTGCCAATTACATGATGTGACATAGTTTATAAAGTGCCTGGTGCTTGGCATGTAAATCTTGTTTCTTTACTCCCCCTCTGGAAGATTTCCTTGGTTAACAACAGCAACCTCTTGCGTTTTAAAAACACTTTTTAATTTTTGCAGTGCTTACATGTACAGTCTAATTTTCTCAGAAATCAGAATAAAATTGAAGTATTTTTATTCTCTTCAAAGTGAGAGAAAACTTCAGAACATAATTAAGTGATCTGAATTGACTTAATTTGGTATGGAATTGAGGGCTCTCAGCATGGGCTGATATCCTTGACCATCACATTAACCTGCATAGACTCAGAATCTCATGATCCCAATGCTTCACTACCCAGGCATCTTAATGTCCTCACTGACCTTTTGCATTGAACTCTCTGTTTATCTCATCATCAATTAGTGGCTTCTCACCCACTTTGGACAGAACATAGGGCAGGGAGTGTCACATGCCCTACACTCAGCCTTTATTACGAGGCAGCTGGTCTGGGGTTGCCATCACTGTGCTAGGGCTCAGGTGACCCCTTCACCTTCTCCTGGGATTCCTCTGTCCCTCTAATTTTCTCCACCTTTCCTTCTGGACCATCAAAAGCCAAAGCTGCACAGGTAGGTCTTGCTGCACAGGTAGATGCGCACACCTTGTCATACTGCCTGCCTTCATGGACACTCGCAAAACTCTGCTTGTCTTTGGAGTGTGTATTTCCCCAACTCTCAAGCAGATGACCTTCCTCTTAATTTGACTGAGGAATTGGAGGTCATTTTATCAGAGCTCCCCAACCCTCTGTTTCCCTGTCATTCATTCATTACCTTCTTTATCCTTTCAATCATTCCTTCAGTTACTCAAATATTCAGTAGCCTGCCTCTCTCCCACCATCATACCTTTCCCCCTCATTCTCATTCTCTCACAAGAGGTAGGCAGGGTCTTTAGAGCTACAGTTTTTGAAAGTGACAGACAGGTAGCTCTCGACTGGCATTTTCTGGGTTGGATACATACCAACAAATCCTTAAGGTTGAGGTTCATTCTTCTAGTTACTGAACCCACTTACCCTTCACCAGCAAGTACAATTATTATCTAGAGTAGAGTTGATTTGGCTCCAATAATGGGGCCTCAGAAATCATCTTGTGCACTGTGTCCCATCCCAGAAATGAAAAAATGGAGGCCCAGAAGGCTGAGCTGGCTCCTTGAGGTCAGCAGTGTGACATAGTGAAAGTACCTGGGCTATAGAGTCAGACAGATAGGCACTACACCCTTGCTCAAGCAACTCCTAGCTATGTGTCCTTTGGCAAGTGACACCCTCTCTCTGAACCTCTTTTCTTTTCTTTTCTTTTTCTTTCTCTTTTTTTTTTTGGTGGAGTCTTGCTCTGCCACCAGGCTGGAGTGCAGTGGCACGATCTCTGCTCACTGCAACCTCTGCCTCCCGGGTTCAAGCGATTCCCTTGCCTCAGCCTCCTGAGTAGCTGGGACTACAGGTGTGTACCACCATGCCTGGCTAATTTTTTTGTATTTTAGTAGAGATGAGGTTTCACCATGTTGGCCAGGATGGTCTGGATCTCCTGGCCTTGTGATCCACCCACCTTGGCCTCCCAAAGTGCTGGGATTACAGGCATGAACCACCACACCCAGCCTTTCTGAACCTCTTTTCTTATTGAAACGCAAGACAATAGTACTTATCTTGCAGAGTTGTTGTAAAGAGTTATTCTAAAGAGTGGTTCTAGAGAGCCTAGTGCATTACCTTACAAAGAGTAGTTGCACTCTAAATGATGGCTATCATTAGCTGAGACCCAAACCCAGAAAGCCAAGCTCTTAGTCCAGCACTTTTCCATTACCCTGAGCTGATGCATACTCAGACTATAAGGTTTAGCTCTGAGGTCTTTTTTCTGCAAAGGCTTCTAGTATTTCCCCCTCAGAGTTAATCTCACCTTTCTTTTTGGCTTATGGGGTTTTCCTTTTACCTCTTTTTTTTTTGGCAGTCATTTTCTTCTGCCTTGTATTATAAGTACCTGTGTACCCTTCCGTCTCCTTCCCTAGATTGCATAGCTTGAGGGCACAGTAGTGTCTATAGATTTTTGTGTCTCTTTAACACAGTAATCCTCAAACTCCAAAGAAGATGAAAAATTCCCAGGGAGGTTTGTTAAAAATGCAAATTACTCAGTCCTACCTCTAAAGCGCTGATTCAATAGGACTGGTCCATGAATGTGGATTTTTAACAAATAAAGTGTGGGTGATTCTGATGTAGGTGAATCACAGCACTTGGGGAATTATAGCTCATCTACCTATTTTAGCATATACTGGGTTCTCCGGAAATCTTCATTAAGTGAATTATAATAAGGTGTACTATATCATTTATCTATTGCTACATAATAAATTACCTCTAAAACTCAGTTGGAGGATTTTAAGCATGGGAATGGTATAATCTTATTGAAAGTTCACTCTAGCTGCTATATAAAGTGTAGGTAATGGAAACAAGAGGAGAAAGAGAGGAATCAATCAGCAGGATATTGCAGCAATCCAGGTGAGAGGTGATGCAAGAGCTGATGGAGCCTCAGCTGAGGTAGTTGCAGCAGAGGTGGCCTAAAACAACAATGCTTTATGATATGATTCCTCATGGTTCTGTGGGTTTCCTGTCTTGAGTATTTCTGTGGCTGGGCTGGGCTCCTGTGGCTACATTCAGCTGGAAGGTCAGCTGGGGCTGGATCAGCTGGGCCAGCTGAACTTCTCTCTCTATGGGGTCTTTCATCCTCTAAGAGGCAACACCCAGTTTCCTCACACGGTGGCAGCAGCATTCCAAGAGGACTAGTTTCTTTGCACAAGCATTTATCAAGCCTCTCCCTGTGTCGTATTTGCTGATATCTCATTGGCCAAAGCATGTCACATGGTCAGAGGTAATATGGGCGGGGACTATGAAAAAGTGTGACTAGTGGGAGACATGATTCATTGGTAGAGTTGCCAGAGAAAATACAAGATAACCAGTTGAATTTGAACTTCAGGTAAGTGAAGAATATATATTTTTAGTATAAGTATGCCCCATGCAACATTTTAAATACACATGCTAAAAATTGTTAATTTTTGTAGTATAAATATGTCCTGGGCAATATTTGGGACATACTTATACTAAAAATTATCCTTTGTTTATCTGGAATCAAAATTCAACTAGTCATCTTATATTTTTATTTGCTAAGTCTGGCATCCCTATATTGGGAAATGTTCATATAATAATCCCTCACTTACACTATTGTCTTTTTTAACCTTTAGTATGAAATTGCTGATTTGGACTTTTCTGCCTCAGTCTATTCCAAAAAAAGGAACACCACCCCCCCCTTTTTTTTGTTACCCAGGTGTATGAAGAAGTATAATGTTTTGAGTTCTCCTACTTGATGTTTTCTAGATTTTCTGAGGCACAGTCTCTCTTTTCTTACGTGTGGTATCTCACCTCTTGCATCTCTTCTCCTTGAGATCAAGTTTGCTCCTGCTGTCACTATCATCTCTAGTCTTCCTGAAGCAATTCTCTTCTGCTGGGGCCATACTTTCTTCTAGACACTGTCTCTTTATCTGTTTTATATTATAGATTCCTTTGGCAGTCTAGTGAAGCTTATGGACTCCTTCTCAGAATAATTATTTTAGATGCATAAGATAAAACGTGGCTGGGCGCAGTGGCTCACGCCTATAATCCCAGAACTTTGGGAGGCCAAGGTGGGCAGATCACCTGAGGTCAGGAGTTCAAGACCAGCCTGGCCAACATGGTGAAACCCCATCTCTACTAAAAATATAAAAATTAGCCGGGCGTTGTGGCGCATGCCTGTAATCCAGCTACTCAGGAGGCTTAGGCAGGAGAATCGCTTGAACCCGGGAGGTGGAGGTTGCAGTGAGCTGAGATGGCACCACTGCACTCCAGCCTGGGTGACAGAGTGAGACTCCATCTCAAAAAGAAAGATAAAATACAAAGGAGTACCAAATAATTATATTCAAATTCAGTTACTAAGATAGCTATAAAAGAAAACAAACCAAAATTATGATATAATAATGCATGTGTTTCTTTATTAATGCATTAAATAATAAAAACCTAGATGCAGGTCTTCTTTGAAGTAGATGAGTATAGATGGTATTTCCAGGTATCTGCAACAACTATAATATGATATAAAGATATTTGTGATTGATTTTGGTGACAGAGTCAAAGATACTGAAGGAAATGCCAAATATCAGAGGTTAGTGAATAATGATGAACAAATGTTTTGCCATCCAAATTCATAGACCCCCGAGTTCTATCCACAGCTCCCCAAGGTTTTTAGGTTAAGAACCGCTGGATCTAGAACAATCTGAATCAGCCCTCTCCTTTCTCTGGTGTTCTTCTGCCTTGTGTAACAGAAGCATCTCATTTCACTTTAAATTACCACTGATTAGCTACAGTTGAAAGCATCGCAAAACAATTATAAGTTGCACATTAAGACTTTTAGAAAAATTAGTGGAAACTTTGGAGATATTAGCCAAAGAATGAAGTTGAGTACACAGTGAGTTTTTCTGTCCATTTGTTTTCTACCTATTTTAGGGACTGAGGCTTTCCAGCTTAAGCTCTCAAAATGAATGCAAACTGTGATCTGTAATTTTAGCTTACAATTATTGTTGAACCAAATTGTTCTTCTGCCTGATATGGTTATTGATTATCATATAGTTATTTACTCAACATCATTTCCTCTGCAAGTGCTTCCCTTGCTCTGTGAAGATGACGTCACTGATCGAATGTCCTTCCAGGAGGGGTGATTTGGACTTCTATGTCCTCTTCTATTCGGCTGCTGAAGCTCTTGGCTTCAGGATACCATCCTGTCCTGCGTAGACTCCTACCTCACTAGCTTTTTAATTGTCCTCTGCTGACTTATTATCCTCTGACTGGTTTCAAAATAATAGACTGCCCCTGGGCTTAGGTTAGGCTTCCTGTCTTGTTTGTATCCTTTCCTTGAGTGATCCAGTCCAAGCCTTTGTAAACTATGTATTTGGTGATAATGCAGAAATTATCTCTGATCCTGACCTTCCTGTGTTCCAGATTCCCATACCCATTTGTCTTATTTCACATGTCCAATTCAGCAGCCTATGAACATCTCAAGTGTAACATCAGCAAAGTTATCACCTTTACTCTCCAGCTTTGTTGTTCTTCTAGACATCTCAATTTCAACAGATGTCAACATTATCCATACAGTAGCTCAAGCCAAAACAATTGGAAGACATTCCAAATTCCTTTATTCTCAGTTTAAGGGAACTTAACCCCCAACAAATGCAAATTCTGATGGCTAACCCTCCCTCCAGAACCTGACCACTGTTTAGCATCTCCACTGCCACTACCTCTGCTGAGCCTCCACCATCCCTAATATCACCTCTTACCTGAATTTCTGCAATAGACTCCTGACTGATTCTTCCCTGACTGAAAATAGGGGAGTTATCTGTTCAGGACTAAAATTTGAGACAAGAGGTGGGAGAGGGGACTCTTTATGTCAGTTCCTGGAATAAGCAATTTGGAACCCGTAATAAGGACAGTAAAACATTGGATGCCCACCATTCTGCTAAGTGCACTAAGAGTAGTCTCCAAATATAGAGATATGTGTGACTCATTTTTATGTCTGGGGCATTACCCTGGCCAAATTATTTCTCATATTCTATTATTAGACAAAGAGAACTTTTAAATGTTTAGATTTTTCTGTCTTTGGTTACCTCTCTCAGTTGATCCTTTAGTTCCATTGCATAGTCCAATAGGAGTATCAGTTCCAAGAGAAGTTCCTCTTCAAAGGTTTAGTTTGTTTAGTTTCTTGTTCTCTGCTTTCAAGATCCAACTTCCTTATCCTTTGTGCCTCTCTGCTCCTGGTTCCAGTAAGCAACTCTCCAAATGTTCCTTATCTATAGAGCCCACATCTGCTACTCACTCTATAATTTACCTCTCCCACTGTAATGGCTTTTTCCACCAAAGCTGTCTTTCAGGTTAGCCAATCGGGTTCAGTTTAGATTGTGTGGTCCAACTCCAGCCAGTGGAGACAGGACACAGTAGTAGGGACAAGCTGCGTTAGGAATAAAAAAAACCCTTTCCCTCCTTTGTTTGGAGTGCTCTCATGGCAATCAGCCCTGCGAGAAGCACCCTTCTACAGAAGTAAATTTGCCTTGCTGAGAAATCTTTTGTTTGAGTGCTCATTTTCTTTGAGACTCTGAGCTTTACTTCCAACAGAAAGAAGCTCTTTGGTTCCCATTTTTACCAGTCACCAGGCTGTTCTCTGAGTAACCTCTGAGTAATAAGGGGTTTACTGACATTCCAGCCACTAAGCTGCCTCTGTATGACAATTGAATTATGTCCTATAATTGCCCCCCAGGTTGAGGCCAGGTCTGGTCCTGGGTGGGTACCAGTATGTGTAGGTGGGAGGGGTGAAATGAGGCAAGAGAAAGGAGGGAGCCCAGGCCTGGGGTCATGGCTGCTGCTCAGCAGGGGTGAGGAGCAGGACAGCCTGGCAGGCAGCCAGGGCACCTCCCTCGCTGTAATTGCCAAGTATCAAGTGAATAAGCCCTTCCATCTGCTGGGAAGCATACATTTGACAAAGAGACTCAGGAGCGGGAGGATAAATGGTACCTGTGCAATGGAGGCAAGGAATGCTCATATAATCTATTGTTAAAAGGGACTTTTAAGATTCATCTATCCAGATAAATGCTCCTCATCTTGCTGTACTTGGAAAAAACCAAGGCTGTGGGAGGGAGGAGGACTGTCAAATTCACAGAGCTATCGAGTAGCAAGCTTAGACTCCTGCCTCCTTAGTGTAATTTAAGGAAAGCAAGAAGCATTGTGAAATGAGGATGGGATAGGATGCTAACTATATTCCAGAATGGTTAGGATGTTTGGTCTTGGTATGAGTCCTAGGCAGGCAATGATAAATTCCTCAGATCTTTGTTCCAGATCAAATCAGCCTGGACTTCCTACCTGAGTCATAGTTACGTCTATCCAGTTGCTTCTGTATCATTTCTGTGTGGCTTTTTCACAATTGCCTTGAGCTATTTGTGGTGGTCTGGCACCCAGCATTCATTCCAAAGTCCTTCTAGAGTAACTTCCTATACTAGTGAGGCTGGAAAGCTAGCAATATATTATATTAATTATACTTCCCAGACTCCCTTGCAGCTGGCATTGCAGTGAAATCAGGTTAAAAATCAGGTTCCTCCAATTATAGACACTTTCATGATATTTGGAAGGTAAAGGCCATCTTCCTGCTTCAGTAGCTGAGACGTTAGATTTTTCTTCTTAGGGGTTCCAGGCTCCTATCACCGCCTTCCAGGATGTGGAAAAGCTGTTGCTGCTGAAGTGGCAGCAAGAGTGGCTTCTCGATTCTTGGGTCACAATGACAATGGCATATTGTTAAAGTCAGTGGTCCTGGTTGTGGCCTCTGGATTTTCCAGGTTCCTGATTGTGGCAGAGGCAGAATTTCCCCCAGCAGGCAAATTCTCACTCATTGCTAGAGGCTGAGCATGGGGCTTGTTTCCTCAGTCCTTCCAGTAATTTTCTAAGTACCTGGGGTATATTGTTTGCAAAAATGGCCACAATCCCTTCTTCCTCTTCATGTCTATGCCTCTTTGCAATGAGGCTTTGCAGCTCATTCCATCAAGAGGTAGTCTATTTTCCCACTCTTAGAATTTGGGCTGGATGAGCAGGCACGGTGGTTCACGCTTGTAATCCCAGCACTTTGGGAGGCCGAGGTGGGCCGATCACCTGAGGTCAGGAGTTCGAGACCAGCCTGGCCCACATGGCAAAATCCTATCTCTACTAAAAATACAAAAATTAGCCAGGCATGGTGGCGGGCGCCTGTAGTCCCAGCTACTCAGGAGGCTGAGACAGGAGAATCGCTTGAACCCAGAAGACAGAGGTTGCAATGAGCCAGGATTGTGCCATTGCACTCCAGCCTGGGTGACAGAGCAAGACTCTTTCCCAAAAAAAAAAAAAAAAAAAAAAGAAGAATTTGGGCTGGCTTTGTAACTTGCTTTAGCCAACAGAATGAGACTAAGTGACATTGTGCCCATTTGAGCTTACACCTTAAGAGGCCTTGTGTGCATTTTCTCTTTTGCAGCTCTTCCAGGAGTCATGTGCATTGCCCAAGCTACCCTGCCAAGTGATGAGAAAGATGCGGCCTAGTGATCCTCATCACCCTCAACCAGTAGACAGTCAATGCCCAGAAGCAGAGCTGCTTTAGCTCATTTACAAGTGACCATAGACAAGAGTGAGGCCAGCCAAGACAAGAAGAACTGACCATTTAAGCCCAGTTCAGATCAACAGCCTGTAGAACTGTGAGCTAAGTAAATGGCTCTTACTATAGGCCACAAAGTTTTGGAGTGGATTGTTATGTGGTAAAAGATAACTGAGAGAACACATAATTCTGGGAATTACATCCATTACTGCTTAAAATAGCTAGAGTGGTTTCTGTTGCCTGCAATTGAGCCTTGCCTATGATACACTTAAATTCAGCATTTCCAAAATCAAGCTCATCCATATTCCCTGACTGAACCCTGGTTCCCTTCTGGTGTGTTTGCATCGAGTCATTTGCAACTCTTTCTTCTCCTTTAACATTGGTATCTGATCCATCACCAAGATTTGCCATTTTTATTTCCCAAATATATATTGTGTCTCTCCCTTGTCCACAACCACCCTTATCCACATCACTTTTATTTCTTGCTTGGGTAACAATAGCCTCCCCATTGGTTTTCCTGCTTCCATTCCTGTCCTGTTCCTAGCTCTTCTCTACAAAGCAGCTGGGTGGATATTTTAAAAATGGAAATCTGATTGTGGTCT
Organism: Homo sapiens; assembly: GCF_000001405.40. NCBI lineage: Eukaryota > Metazoa > Chordata > Mammalia > Primates > Hominidae > Homo > Homo sapiens. The sequence continues at coordinate 34,061,994 of NC_000022.11, forward strand.
ACAAACCCTTCCATGATGCTCTTCACTAGCATTACAATGCAGCATTTTTACCTTGTCTTTCCAAGCTAAACCCTCTCCCTTTCCTTTAGTTTCTATAACCTTTTTCTTTTTAATCTTTCCATCTCAAGGCCTTTGCACATGCTATTACTTATGCCTGCAATACTTTTCTCTCTCTTTATCTGGTTAGTTAATACCCAATCTTCAGAGCCTAGAATGTAAGTAATTTGGCCCACAAGGCCTACAGTGCTCCCTCTACACAAACGTATAAACGGAGACAAGGTCAAACCCTCCCATCGTGTGTTCCAGTGAAACTTGACACAATTGAAAGTAAATAATAGCTTTTGTCATTGTTTCTATGCTTTCTTTTTCCTCTTCCAAGTTCCTTGAGGGCAGGGACCTTGGTTACAGTTTATTCTTAATAGTCAGCAAGGTACAAATTGGAAAGGAGACACTCAAGAAATGTGTTACATGAAAGAATAAGGCACAGGTTCATCCCTTAGATTGGCTGCTGTTTAGGAGACACTTTGATGCACAGAACTCTCACTTGGGTGCCTGCTAATACACAGGTTCCTGGGCACTGTCTCCTTATGTTCTGATCCGGCAGGCCCGGGCTTATATCTGGGTATCTGCATTTTCAGCAGGATTTCCAGGGAAATCTCCATGGCCTTCACTTGGGCAAAAGACCTAGACTTAGGGTTTTAAGGAAACAGTGTAGGATTTCCTCATTTGTTCAGTAAGTATTTGTGATGCACCGGCTATGCCTCTGGGTGTGTGGAGGATGTGTAAGTCATGGACTCAGATTTCAAGCATTTCATTTTAACTGGGAAGTTGAGCTTTTCAGTATCAAGCATTTAAGTGGATGGCATATGATGGGATTTCCTAAGAAGAGCTTTCTTTTATGGAGCAGAGATTTATAGGGAAGGGAGAAAGCAACGCTCTTAAGAGGTTAATTTCTCACTTGAGGCTTGGGAGGAAATTTGGCCTACTGGGAAGAACCCTGGCTTTGGTGTCTCTGTGGTTTGGTATTCCATCTCTTCTTGAAATAACTGTATAACTTCGGGCAAGTTGTTTTAAGTTTTTTGAGGCTTAGTATCTCCAGTCCATAACATGGGGATGAAGACAAGAAAATAATTTCTATCTTACAATATTGTGTGAGTACTAGAGATATTATAGTTAATGTACTTAGCCCAAGGCTTTAACTTATGCTGAGTCCTCAAATGGTGAATTGTGTTGTCGTTACTGAATCATCAAGCCGTACATCACTGTTGCCCTGCCTGATTGTAACTCCAGGCTTCAGTGGGAGAGGAGCTTATATGACTAAAGAGAGGGGATCTGGGTTTAAATGCTCACCTTGCCACTTATTAGCTGTCTGACATTCACCACATACTTTGTGTTTTGAATCTCAGTTTGTTCATCTTTAAATGGGGTAAGAAGATCTACCACATATTCTTATAACCTGAGTTAAATGGGGAAAAAAAACCTAGGTAAAGAACCAAGTATAGTGTCTTGAACATATGAAGTACTCAAAAAACACACATTTAGAAGCTTCCAGTATTGAGATTAAAGAAGGAATCCTCTCAGGAAGGATTATCTACCTACTATTCAAGAAAGGGGCTCAGGAGTCACAGAGAATAAAGTAAACAAACATTAACTAAAGACCATGTATCTGAGAAATTTATGAGAATCTGGGAACTTGTCAGTTAAAATACAAGGTTCTTTTTTGTAAGAGATACAAAATCTAACCCTAATATGATTGATTAAAAAATTAGACCTTTTACATAACTGATATCTTATGTAATTGACAAGTTCAGGACTAGGGATAGCTTCAGGCATGGCTGTACCCAGAGGCCCACATGGTCATTGTGATGCAGTCATGGTGTCCCACCTCATCTTCTGCTTTCCACTGTTGAAGCCATTGGCTGGCTCCCCAGTGGTGGTGGCAAAATGGTTTCTGTCAACTCCTGGCCTTCATCCTGTTCTCTCCCCAAATTAGGCAGAAGGAACATTGCTCTTCCCCACCTTCAGGATAAGCCCTCAAATTAATGATGATTGGATTGACCTGGGCCATTTGTCCACCTGTGAGCCTATGACTATGAACAGAAGGATGGAATAGCATGATTGGCGCAGGCCTGGGTCTCGTGCCTACCCCTGAATCTAGTGTGGCTGAGGCTAGCCAGACCCAGATCCTAAAGACTCAGAGTTAGGGAGCAGTGGATTCCCCCCAAATGTGAGTGTTACAATTAGAAGGGGGAATGAGTGCTAGAAAATTAAAAACAACATATTCCACAAAGACATTTCTTTTTTGTACTATTGTCATTCACCCCTGTCTACTTCTCAGCCCTGAAACCCCAAGAATAAAAAGGCAGTGTGCTTGTTTTCTTCAATGAAAATCGGGAGTCAGGACTGTATCTTGATCTGAAACTAGTCTTTGGTGAGAGACAAAGTGTGAAAAATACAGGAAGTTCTGGCAGCTATGATGAGGACCAGGAAGCAGGATTAGTCCCCGGAGGCTGTCAGAAGGGAAAAAAGGATCCAGGGGGAGTCAGTCTGGGAGAAATTTACTTACTTCAATGGCCTGGTTCTTAGACACCGACCGAGCTACCCAATGTCTCCCCTCCAACTCTCACTCTTATCAGAAAATGCTGCTTATGGGTCAAGGCAGCCTTTCCTGGCCTGAGTTCCTCCTCATGGGTCACCAGCTGAAGGGCAACCATCCTTTTCGGAGACATGGCCGTATCCATTGGGTGGCACATTAAGCCACTCCCCAGGGGGGCCAGAGCTATTAAAATAGAATCCATCCCCAGGAACTGAGCAAAATGCATTGACCAGCCCTTCATCAAAGCAGCGGCAGGAGCCAGGTTGCAGCACCAGCAGACTCCCCGCACTCAGCATTTTCCTCGCAGAAAACAAGACCACTAAATGACTCCACATCCTCCCTTTGCCTGTGTACCCCAGAGATTGCAGGCAGCCCTTGCCAGTCCGTGCATTTGCTTTATCTCTGTGCTCATCCATTTTTCTTCTTGTCGTGGAAAAAGACTTAACAAAACACTCACATTAATAATTCTGATCCCCTGTAAATGGCCAAATCCTCAAGAGAGGACCTTGGCCTCTCTGTCCACATTGCCTCCTCCCCTCTACCATCCTCACTGCAATAAAACAACATCTCTTTACGTTTATGTCAGTCAAGAATGGGGTAATAACTTGTAGCTCTATACATTCCGGCTCCCTCATTATTAATCATTCCTTACTGAAAACATTAAAGTAGTTTCTGACTTGGACTTTTGTTTCCAAAACAATGCTGATACTTCCTTAAAGAAGCAATTTCATCAACTTGTCAAGGAGCTGGCCCTAAAGCAGAGGTCACCCATAGGCGAGGCTATAATTAATTAGAAATCTGGAATGATTATGGACCTGGGTAAAAGCTTGCCATTATATTTTAAGCTCCAAGGGAAATTTTAAACCATGTAGCCCAGTGTTTCTCAATTAGGGCTCAGTTCCTGGCTCCCTAGTCCCCCAGGGAACATTTGGCAATGTCAGGAGACATTTTTCATTGTCACAATTCCAGGGGGGAGGGGTTGCAAGGATGCTACTGGCATCGAATAGGCAGGTGCCAGGGATGCCCCCTCAACATTCTTGAATGCAGAAGACAACCCCACAACAAAGACTTACCCAGTCCCAATGTCAACAGTGCCAAGGTTGAGAAAGCCTGATGTGTAGAATAAGGATTAGTTATGATGCATTCATTAATTCTTTATGAATTATGAGCACCTGGCTATGAAATTCATTGAGCACCTGGCTATGAAATACCCTCTATGTGTCAGGCATTATTGTAATATCATGGATTTCCTTGTGACTGAGACAGAGTGCCTGTTCCCATGGAGATGTTATTTTAGTGCGACACTCTGGCAATAAGTAGATAAACAAATAAGATAACTTAAAAGGTGATATATGCCATAAATACATACATACATACATACATACGTACGTACGTACGTACGTACGTACGTACATACATACATAAATAAAAGCAGAGCGAGTTTGACGTCGGACCAGGCCATGTTAGATGGGGAGATCATGGGAAGCCTCCCTGAGAGTCAGCAGTGTGAGAGTTGGAAAGGCAGCCAGCACAGGGCGAGGGAATTCATTTCAGGCAGGGAGAATGGCAAGTGCAAAGGCCCCAAGGTAGAAAAATCCGGGTTTGTTTGGGGAAGAGAAGGAAAACCAATGTGACTAGAAATTCTTGAGTAGAAGGGAGAATGAAAGAGATCAGAAAGGAAAGATTGGCTTGGATAGACCATGGGGATCAGAGGTTTGCAAACTTGTTCTGTAAAGGGACAGATCATAAATGTTTTCAGCTTTGTGGGCCATGCTGCCTCTGTCACAACTACTCAGCACTTCTGCCATGGTACAAAGCAGCCACAGACAATATGTAAATACATGGGCATGGCAGTGTTCCAATAAAACTTTATTTATAAGATCACATTGGCCAGGCGCAGCGGCTCACGCCTGTCATCCCAGCACTTTGGGAGGCCGAGGCGGGTGGATCGCCTGAGGTCAGGAGTTCGAGACTAGCCTGGCCAATGTGGCGAAACTCTGTCTCCACTAAAAATACAAAAATTAGCTGGGTATGGTGGCACTCACCTGTAGTCTCAGCTTCTTGGGATGCTGAGACAGGAGGGTCACTTGAACCTGGGAGGCGGAGGTTGCAGTGAGCCGAGATTATGGCACTGCACTCCAGCCTGGGTGACGGAGTGAGATTCTGTTTCAAGAAAAAAAAAAAAGATAAGGTTATGGGCTGTAGCTTGCTAATTTCTGGTATAAGACTTTGAAGGACACGGGAAAGGGTTCAAATTTTATTTTAAGTACCCATGGACAATTTCAAGCAGGGAAGAATAATTACATTTTAAAACTAAGGTTCACAAGAATAACCCAGTCCCTGGCTTTGTGATCTTAGGCATATTATTTTCCCTTTCTAGGTCAGATTTTCCTCATTTAAAAAATAAAATTGGCTAGTTACCCACTTAGATTGATGTCAGGAGGTTGACATAGATGTAATGAGTGAAGTGCAGTTTGCAAAAGCGAGTTATTGTGACGGTTGAAAGTGTTTCCACCTGTGGAGGCCCCAAAGCCCTTCCATGTATTTTTGCAGCCTTCTAGTATGAGGGATGGCTCTGTTTCAGAGCTGGAGGAACTTCCTGGAACTCCAGGAGGCAAAATTACTCACTTGCAATCGCATAAGGCATAAGCAGTTGTGTTTGGGCTCCCGCCCGCCTGTCTGCATGCTTTTCAGATCAAATATAGACTTAGTGCTCACTGCCTCGTGGGTGCTGCTGCTTTGCTCGTAAGCCTATGTATGAGCTTTATTTTCTTTGCAGAAGAGTCACCTCTCTATGAAAAACACCTTTACCTTGCTTATCCTTGGCAAATGCACCCAGCAGTCTGGCTGGTCAGTGCTGGAGGTTGGGGAGAGGTGGGGGTTCAGAACACATAACAGGGCAGGGAACAAGATGGACAGGAGCTGAGTCCTAGAAACTGGACATGTCTGCAAGAAAGGACCAGGCTCTTGGAAAATGCTTAGTGAAGCCTTCCCTGCCGCTGAGGCTAAACAGAGTCAGGGGCTCCCTATTTCTTAGGACAGGATTGAGAGTGCTTCCATGGCCCCCTACAATCTGGCTCTTAATCATTTTTCTGCCTCACCTCCTATCAGTTACTCCCCTTGTGCTGGCCATGGTGCTCTCCAAAGATGCCAAGCATATTCTCTTCCCTGGGCTGTTGTGTGAGCTGCTCCCTCTGTCTGAGTTACATTTCCTCTACCTCTTTCTTTGTCTGTCTGGTGACTTAATGTAAGTCTCTTCATCCACATTACGTCCTCAAAGTGGCCTTTGTGACCAACTTATTTTCAATTGCACCACATCCTCCCCACCGCTTTCTATCCTTTCATTCTGCTTTATTTATTTACTTATAGCATATCATAGTCCTACCTGATATTATATTCTATGTTTATGTGTTTACTGTCTGTCTGTCTGTTCCATTAGAATATAAGTCACATGATGGTAGAGATTCATCGTGTACATGGCTGCATTCCTACCTCCTTCCAAGTGCATTACACATTGTAGGCGATTAATACATTTGTGTTCAATGAATGAAAGACCTTTAGTTGGAAAGGGACAGATGCCAGGCAGATGGTCATTAAGGAGTTAGTCTGGCAGGAGTTGAGCTCTCTAGCAGGTGGCAGGAGCCCAGCAGTATGAGATCAGGGTATACATAATATGCAGACTGTATTAGAGTAACACCAGCTGTTAAAACAAATAAACTCCCATATTTCAGTGACTTAAGACAATGTTTATTTCTCACCCACATAACACTGATTTTCCTATTAATGGGAGACTTTTCCCTAGGTGGTGATTTAAGAACCTAGGCTTCTTTTGTTTTGCGGTGCTGCCATCCCCAAGGACCGTGAATTTCTCTGCCTCCAGTTGGCGAATAGGAGAAGAAAGAGTGGAGAAGGTATACCCGCTTCTCACCCACCTTGGCTCAGAGGAGACCTTCACCACTTCCACTCCATTCCTTTGGTGAGAAATGATCACATGTACCTACCTAGCTACAAGGGGGTGCTGAGGAAAGTTGCCTCTCACTGGGTAACTGCTTCCCAAGAATAGCTTCATACTAAGAAACACTCTGTACTAGGCACCCCAAATGTTGACAGATAGTTGACTATATCTATTACATAGTCCTAGCTCCTTCATTTCCTTTCCTCTGTTCTACCTTGACAATCTTGCCCAAGCACTAGTTCCTACAAACAGCCTGTAAACACACTCATGTTTCCCACCCTAAAACCATTTCTCCGGACCCTAAGCCCTTTCAAGCTACTGTCTTCCCTTCATTATTGATGAACTTCTTGAAAGAATCCTTTACTGATTTCACTTTTCATACATATTATTTATTCCTTAGCTTACTGAAATTGCTCCAACTCAAAGTCACTAATGACCTGCATCCTAAATCTGGCATTCCTCCTCAGCCTTAATTCTGTGTGTCTCCCCTGCAAAATTTTACACCGTAGAGCACATCTTCCTGCCTGGAGTGTATGACTTTCTGAGCATCCACTCTCACAGTTCTCATCTTACCTCTCCCACTGCCCTTTCTCAGTCCCCATTCTGTTGTTTACTCAATGTTGGGGTCGTCTGACTTCTGCCCTTAGGTCCCTCTCTCCTCTCTCATCATATATATGTATACATATTTTTTTTTCTTTTGAGATGGACTCTTTCTCTGTTGTCCAGGCTGGAAGTGCAGTGGCACGATCTCTGCTCACTGCAACCTCCACCTCCTGGGTTCAAGCAATTCTCCCTGCCCCAGTCTCCCGAGTAGCTGGGATTACAGGTGCATACCATCATGGCTGGCTAATTTTTGTATTTTTTAGTAGAGCGGGGTTTTGCCATGTTGGCCAGGCTGGTCTTGAACTCCTGACCTCAGGTGATCCACCCGCCTCGGCCTCCCAAAATGTGGGGATTACAGACGTGAGCCATGGTGCCTGGCTGTTTCTCACCATATTCTGAGACTGAAAGTGCCTTGCATGACTGGAACTTTTTGTGTTAGTTTCCTGAGGCTGCCATAACAGATGACCACACACTGAGCGGCTGAAAACAACAGAAATGTATGCTCCCACAGTTCTAGAGGCCAGAGGTTCAACAGCAAGATGTCAGCAGGGTTGGTTCCTTCTGGAGGCTCTGAGGGACAATCCATTCCATGCCTCCCACCTAGCTCCTGGTAGCTTGGGCAATTCTTGACATTTCTTGGCTTGCACTGCGTCACTCTAATCTCTACCTCTGTCTTCACGTAGCGTTCCCTCTGTGTTGTCTCAAACCTCTCTTCTTTCTCTTAGAAGGATAACAATAATTGGATTTAGAGCCCACTGTAAGCCCGGAATGATCTCACTTTAAGAATCTTTAACTTAATTACATCTGCAAAGACTTTAATTTTACATAAGGTCACATTCACAGACACTGGGGTTAGGATTTGGCCATGTCATTTTGGGGAACACTATTAACTCACGACACCTCCTAAATCTGTACCTCTGACACCAGCTTCTCTCCCGGGCTCCAGACCCACATTTCCAATTCCCTACCACATGTCTGCAAGCACAGGATGCAGAAGAACCTCACATACACATGTCCAACCTGGCATTTAGCATTTTTTCTTCTTAATTCTAATCATCCTCGGCTTTCTCTTGTGGGGGATGGCTCACCATCTGTCCACTCTTACAAGCGAGGAGCATGAGGCTCATCCTGGATTCCTTCCTCTCTTACCTCCCACCTCCAATCAGGCACTGAGTTATGTTGATCCTCCTGGGACATATCTCCCAAACTCCTCCATCCCCAGCATCTCCAGCTTGGTACAACTCTCCATATTTCTCACCACCGGTTTTCCGGTAGTTTCTTAACTAGCTTCCTTCTCTGCTTCCTCCAGTTTATCTTTAAAACTGCAAATAGAGTTTTCCTCCTAAAGACTATGAATCTGATCATGGTAGAAGTCCATAATCTTTTATCTAAAACTTTGAGACTTCCAGAAATTCAGAATCTTTTGGATGGAGGAATAGCCAGATGTAGTGTATTATGTAGGTCTGGCATTGTACTATGGGCAGTACCCCACACCCAAACATGTAAGAGTGAAATACATGAATATTCACATGAAGAGGGATAAATAAAGACCATAAATAGCCTCCTGTACATTCAGACAGTGTTTGCTGCCAAGTGATTTTGTGCCAAACTTAGGAAAAAACCTTCAGTTGTCAGTTTTTAAAATTTCAAGAGAGTGGATAAAGGATCGTGGTCTTGTACTTTCTTTCTCGAAAATTCTCTAGTTTCTTATTGTCTCTTTCAGCAGGGTTTGAAAAACAGTGGAGAAGACGAGCTCAGAGGTTATGCAACAGCAGGATGGTCTATTATGTGCCAGGCCTCACCATGGACTAGGAGGCCCTTTGCAACCTAATTCCTGCCCACCTCTTGACCTGAATTTGCACTGCTGTGTCTCCTTCCTCTTCCCTTTGCCCTACCTTACCAGTAGACATTTCTGTTCTTGAAATAGTCCTGACTCAGGCTTTGCACATGCTATTCCCTTGTCTTAAATGCCTCCCTTCTATATGTAGCTGGTTTCTTCTCATTCTGACTTCACCTTAAATATCATCATCTTTTCACTCCATCCTACTAAATATTTCTTCCACTTTCCCCTAGAGAAGGCGATTGGCTTGCCACCTGTTCTGTTTCATTCCTTATTCCTTTACTATTGTCTATTATTCTTTTCCTGTTGTCTAAGGCTGCTTTCATAGTACAACAGGAGAGTTGAGTAGTTGCAACAGACTGTGTGGCCCCAAAGCCAAAAATATTTACTCTCTGGCTCTTCACAAGACAGGTTTGCCAGACCATGCCCTGGAGTTATTATATAGCAATCAGCTATATGATCTTTATTACATTACTCTATGAAATTATCTTATGTGTTATTTCATTCTCTTCTTCTCTACTGGAATGTGAATTTTATGAGAGTAGGGACCTTGCCTCTGTTTGCTCATGGCTATAATCCCAGAGCATCTGAAGACATTCAATAACATATTTTGTTTGCAGGACTAAATTAATACATGCTGGGTATATGTTGTGAGCAAAGTTGGTCTGACAACCTGCTAAGGGGCTCAACCTGCCACATATGTACCAGGTGGGGGAGGAAAGAATGGGATCAGGAGGTGGAGTGTATTTTCCATCTTTGGATTTTGGTTTCTCAAAGTAAGTAGCCACCCACCTTCCCATATCTGTCATTTAAAATGTGTCTTAGTTTGTTTTGTTTCGTGCTGCTATAGCAGAACACCTGAGACTGGGTAGTTTATAAAGAAGAAAGATTTATTTCTTATAGTTCTGGAGGCAGGGGAGTCCAAGATCAAGGTGTCAGCAGCTTTGGAGTCTGGTGAGGGCTTGTTCTCTTTTCCCAAGATGGTACCTTGAACACTGCGGGAAACTGTTCCTCACATGATGCAAGAATGGAAGAGAAAAGTGAGGGAGAGGGAGAGAGGCAGAGAGAGAGAGAGAGGAGGAAGACAGACAGAGAGAATGAAGTGGGGGGAGAAAGAGAGAGAGAGACCAAACTCATGCTTTTACAAGGAACTCACTTCCATGATAATGCATTAATTTACTCACTTCTGCCTCATGGCCTAATCGCCTCTCATGAAGCCCCACTTGTCAACACTATTGCATTGGAGATTAAGTTTTTAACTTTTTTTTTTTGGGGGGGGATGCATTCAAACCACAGCAAAGCATGAAAATAAAATGCAAAAAATCAATTTCACAGCCCAGCTTAGGATTTAATGGTGCGCTATCTACAATAGGCTATTGAGGTAATGAGGCTCCCAACCTTCTCAAAGGGCTCCTGCAACCACGTGGCAAAAATGCATGCAGCTGGCTCAGGCCACTTCCCTCCAAGACACCAAACCTCCTTCAAAATCAGCACATTATTAAAATATTTTGGTTCCTAACACTCCCCTGGCTTTGTTGACTCACAAAAATGGCTTTACCACCCCCACAATGGGGCTGTAATTGATGGAAGCCATCATCCTTTACATAGTGCTTTCTTGGGTACAAATGATTCTTTACAGAAAGAGAAGGACACCAGCTTTTCCCAAATTACATTTTGCTGGATAAATCAATAGCAATGACTTTCAGGCTCAGGAAGTACTTTTGAGGAGGAAAAGATGCTCGTTCAAGTGAAGGTGGGTTGGGGAGTAGGAAGAGGCAGCCGGGCCGTGCTGGGTAGATTTCACACTCAGGCACCATCTGCTGGATGTGGAGGAGAGATGGAAGCATGTCCTCTCTATAGGCGTCTGAGTAATGGGGATGTGTTATTTTAGAAACCCTGAGCATACAATAACCACTCTTGACTCCTGTCTTTTCCTTACTGTCTGCACCCAGTACACCAGTAAATTCTGTAGGTGCCACTTCTGAAATATTTTCTGCCCCATTATCACCATTAGTACATCTTGGTCAGCCACTGTCAGCTCACACTTGGACTAATGCAGTGGCCTCCTAACTGGTTTTCCTGCATCTACTCCTGCTATAGCTTCAAAAACTCATTCTTGTCAGCTCAGCCAGAGTGATCTCACCAAAACATAAGGCCATCTGTTCTGCTTAAAACCCTCTTGATGTGCTCACCATGGCCCAGGAGGCCAAACAGTCCTGCTGTTGCATAGTCTTTGAGCTCATCTCCTCCGCCCTTTCTTCACTCCCATCCTTGGTCCCCTTGCCGTACCCCCAACACCCTAAGCTTGCTCCTCCCGAAAGCCCTTCCCCAGGATGCTCATTCTTCCTAGCCCAGTGTTGCTGATTTTCCCGTCGGCTGCTTCTGGTCATACGGATCTCAGCTCAAATGTCACCTCCTCAGGGAGGCTGCTCTGACCTCTTGTCTATAAGAGCTCTTCAGTGACTTTCTCTCATATCTCTGCATTATTGTCTTCATCGCACTCATCCCTCTCTAAAATATCCTGTTTCTTTCTTTCTTTTTTTTTTTTTTTTTTGAGACGGAGTCTCACTCCGTCACCCAGGCTGGAGTGCAGTGGCGTGATCTCGTTTCACTGCAACTCTGCCTCCCAGGTTCAAGTGATTCTCCTGCCTCAGGCTCCCAAGTAGCTGGGCTTACAGGCATGTACCACCATGGCTGGCTAATTTTTGTAGTTTTGGTAGAGACAGGGCCTCATCACATTGGCCAGGCTGGCGTCAAACTCCTGTTTCTTTATTTCTGTACTTGCTTCTTATCTCTCTTGCTTTGCTTAATGCTTCAGCCCAACACTGGGCATAACGCTTGTGTGCCCAATGCAGAATAGGCACTTAAGAAATAGCTATTGCAGGTCTGAATGCTACTTACCTAAAAGTAGTGAGTCCCTTATTGAAGAACTGATCATTCATTCATTCAGTACATTTCCTGAGTGCCTTCTTGCTGCCAGCAACTGTGCTAGATAAATTCTGTAGGCAGAAATAAGAAGACACAGTGCCGCCCCTAGGTAACTTTTTCTATGGGGTGGACAACTGATGTACCACTGGTGGCAGGCAGAGGTTTCAGCCTGGTAAGTGCAAGTTCACAGAGCCGTGGACAACAACAACAACAACAATAAAAATCTTGCAGGATCACCCAAGGCTAGAACTGATATCCTTCAATAGAGTGGAGAAGACTTCCTAGAGGAGGCAGCATTTGAGTTGGGTTTCATAGGATGATTAGGAGATTGCTGTGAAAAGGGATGGAAGGGATCTAATGACTGGTCAAAACTAAATATAGCAGAAGTAGAAATAATGTGGGAAGATTAAGAAGGAGATAGATTTCCATAAAGCTTTGATTCTATGTTATTTCCAGCAATGAAAAGAAAGAAGAGGGAGAGAGAGGGTGTTCCAGGGAGAGAGGAGAAGTGGATGTGAACAGCCATTCTTTACCTTCAGTCTTTTCTTCCAAGTGATTGTGATGCTATATTCCTTCAATTAGTTATCCCACAAACACTGAGCACTCCAGTGTCAGGTGCGCCCAGGTGCTGGGGATACAGTAGTGAACAAGACGGGTGATAACATGCTCTTGGGCAGTTCGTAGTCCAGAAAAGGACAGATTTGTGGACAGAAAGCCTAGTGTGGATGTGGTCCATCTGCTCAGCGTTTTATCTGGGAAACTGAGTCCTTGCAGCATTGGCAGGAAGGGTATGGTGGTTACACGCACAGGCTCTGGAATCTGATCATACCCAGGTTCTAATCTGGCCTCTGACATTAACTGGATGTCTGATGTTGGAATCAGAGTTTCCTCTGGAGAAGCTGTGGGTCTCAGTTTTCTCTCAGGTAGTGAAATAAAGCAGATCATCTGGTTTCACTGAAGCAAGGGGATGAACTGAAATAATGCATGTAAAATGACTAGTGATGTCTAGCATATCACAGGTGCTCAGTGCACGCAGCTGTTGTTACCATCATGGCCCCTGTTAGTAGAGCCCTTACTATGGGCCAGGCTGTGTGCTAAGTGCTTTACTTGGAGTTTTCCAGTTGTCTTAGTCTGTTCAGGCTGTTGACAAAATACTGTCAGCTGGGTGGCTTATAAACCACAGAATTTTTTTTCTCATAGTTCTGGAGGCTTAGAAGTTTAAGATCAAGATGCTGGCAGACTTGGTGTCTGGTAAGGGCCCGTTTCCTGGTTCCTAGATGGCTGTCTTCTCACTGTATCCTCACATGGCAGAAGGGGGAAGGGAGATCTCTGGGTCTCTTTTAATAGGGGCATTAATCCTATTCATGAGGGTTCCATCTTTATTACCTAAGCACTTCCCAAAGGCCCCACCTCCTAATATAATCACATTGGTGATTATGTTGCAACATGTGAATACTGGGTGGATACAAGCATTCAGACCATTGTATGAGTGAATCTGCACAACTCAATGACAGAGGTATTATTATCATTATTATTATTATCTACCTTTTATAGCCAAAGATGCTGAACAAAGGCATTAAGTAAATTTCACAAGGTGATACAGCTAGTAGGTCACTCCAGCAGTGGGTAACTTCAGAACACTCTGGGCAGTACCTTTTCTCCTGATGGCCACAGAGACCCTGCTGCTCCCCTGGGCCAGGTCTGGGCAGCTACCAAAGACTCACCCGATGTGACATCTGCCCAAACAATGTCTGAGACTTTCTTCAGAACTCCTGACCTCTTCTTCTGACCCTTCAGCCCACTGACTGTTACTGTAGGCCTGCAGTTTGCCTTCTGACCCTCAGTTTCTGTATCTGTCAAATGAGGGAGTTGTACCCAAGCACTCCTGAGATTCTGAATCCCTACATTGCAGGAGAGGCTGTTGGGATGAACTGAGCAGCAAAAAGAAGGCCTCTGGGCCCTCCCTGAGAGCCTGAGCATTTTGGAGGGAGCTCCTGACCTCACTTTGTGAGTCACTGCTTGTTTCAGGGAGAGCACTGTCTTCTGGCTCTCCTCTCCTCCCGCTGGCACCCTTGTTTGAAATTCATTCCTACAGGATTATCTGGCAAAGTGCGTGACCCTGGGCTCCAAGGGGTCCTCAGGACAAGTTTAGGCAGAGTGGAAGCATAGCTCTGTGATTCTAGTGAACAGCTGAGATTGCTTCCAGGCAGCAGTGAAGCCGGGATATTTATGGGAGAAAGATCCTTTGCCCCTTCTTAAATTAATTGCACTTGACAGGGGTCAGCCCTCCTTCACCCCCAGAATCCATCGCAGTGAGGGAGGTTGTTCTCCCCTCTGCACAGACAAAACCCAACAAGGATGTCTGAGCTGCCTCAGACGAGGTATCTGACCTCAGGTTGGAGGACCTGAATTCCAGTTTTGACTCTTTCACGGCCAGTGTGGTGGTCTTGGCCAAGTCACATTGTCTCTCTGTGGCTCAGGTCCCATCTGGAAGATGGAAATAATATTTTCCTTACAGAGTAATAGTGAGAAACATGAAACAATGAGCAGGTGAAAGCTTCACCCAAAGCGCCCTGGACCCATGTAAGTGCTCAATGCATGTGAAGAATGAATGAAAGTAGAGGGATATTTGGGCCCAATGAGGAAGACTCTTTGAGGAGTCATACCTGTCCCAGGAAGGGGTCTTCTGGCTCTGAAGGTCATGAGATCTCATTTACTTGGTCAGACTAAGGTAGGACAGCCACTTGGCACTTGGGTAAGTTTCTTCATCTGTTTTGTTCATGGCTCTGTGTTGCTTATATTTCAGCACCTGGCACAGCACAAAATAGGTGCTCAAGAAATGCCTGGATGAACGAATGATTTGACAGAATGAATTGACGCAGTGGATGGGGTGCAGGGTTAGGCTGGAGAGTGTTTAAACTTGCTTCCAGTTCAGAGACTTTATGAATGTTTGAACTTTAGAGGGGGCCTTAACAACAGTATTCTCTATGCTTTCATGAATTAACCACTGCCCAGCCTTAGCCATCTCAGGCAAATGCTGGTCTGAGGGAGAAAGACAAAGACCATCTCTTCCTTTGGGTTACCTGGAGAGGGTGTTCGGAGAAGGAAATAGGGCTGTTTATGGAAGAAATGACCTTTTCTGCCCTTTGTGCCACCTGCCCACCCCCACTTCTGAGGATCAGGACTCTGAGACAGGGAGAGGGGAGGTTCCTTCCTATTGGACACACTTGACCCTCTTCTATTAATTCACTTGGCTTTCTGAGACTGCTGAACATGCTTCAATCTTCCCCTACAGTTGGCATTTGTGTCTATGCAGAGAGCATGGTTGGAGAGATTAGAGGGAGGAGATACTGACAGGAGGGCAGAAACAACAGCTTCCTGCTCATCTCTACAAGGCAGAGTGATTTTCAGCCAGGTTTTTCTTCCTCCCAGACACCCCAGCCTCCCTAAGTTCTCTCCCTGGTCATCCACTGCTCTTATCTGCATTTCCTCAGGCCCAGGGAGTATCTGAGAAGGGAGAACTATAAATTATGCTGTCAAATTGGATGGTACAAGAAGGTGGCAAGGAGATGAGAGGCAGGGCCTTTCCAGATAGCAACCAGATGAAAACAGGTTATAAATAAGGCATGGGGGGCCACCGTCTACACACTCTGTCCTTGACTTCTGTACGCAGGCTCCATGTTCTTGGCAGCCAGCCAAAGGCCGGTCTACAGATTTATTTCCTTACCTCGCCTGGCATGAAATTGTACTCTGGATTGCACCTGTGAGCAGCCCATTCACATTGCCTGGTTTTTGACCCAGTTCTCTTTTTCCTTTTTGTCTAAAAGGATGAGCCATGTGACGAACTGAATATTTGTGTTCACCCCACACCCCTAACAAACCCTGAATTCATATATCAAAGCCCTAATCTCCAGTGTAATGGTATTTGGAGGTGGGGCCTTTGGGAGGTAATTAGTTTTAGATTAGGTCATGACCATAGAGCCCCAATGATGGGATTAGTGTCCTTATATAAAGAGGAAGAGACTGCAGCCCACTGTCTCCCCACCAAATGAGGATACAGCAAGAAGGTGGCCATATGTAAGCCAAAAAGAGGACCCTCACCAGACACTGAGTCTGCTGGCACTGTGATCTTGTACTTCTTAGCCTCCAGAACTATGAGAAATAAAAGTATCACTTACGTTATCCAATGTGTGGTATTCTGCTCTAGCAGCCTGAGTAGACTTAGACAAGCTGCAAAAGCCAACTGGATTGTGGGCTCCATGAGGTTGAGTCCGATTTATCTTTGAAACCCTCTGGGTCTAGCTCAGCAGATGTGGTTACAGAATAAGTAATTGTAAAATGAATGAGTGAACAATTTTTTTCCCAAAGGCAATTGCCTGTTCTTACTACCATCTTATTTCTCCAGATTGTTCCTGATCTTCTTTTGCTTCATGTAAGTATGAATATGTAAACGTGCATATGGCTGCAAATAAAAGAAAACCTGGATGATCGTGGATGACACCATTAAGCATTTGTTGTTTTCTTAACAAGACAGGAGGTAGGCAGTCCCAAGTTTAGTTCATTGTCTCAACAATGTCATCAGGAACCCAGGTCCTTCTGCCACTTCCTATTTCGCTGTCCGCTGGACACTTCCCATGAATCCTGTTGATTTATGTGAACCTTCTCTTTTTCCATACAGATTTTTTTAGGTTGAAGATAAGCCTTTAGTGCACTGGTTGTAAACTGATGGCTTCATGACATTTGTGTTTAGCTTTCAATATTTAAAAAAAAATTTCGGTTAGCTTCCAACATTAACCTAAAAAGCTTCCGCACAGCAAATGAAAAAATCAACAGAGTGAACAGAAAACCTGCAGAATGGGAAAAAATATTTGCAAACTATGTAACCAGCAGGGGACTAATACTGGGAATTTATAAGGAATTCAGACAACTCAACAACAACAACAAAATCAATCTCATTAAAAAGTGAGCAAAGGATATGAATAGATATTTTTCAAAAGAAGACATACAAATGGCTAAAAAGCATATGAAAAACTGCTCAACATCACTAATCATCAGAGAGATGCAAATTAAAACCACAATGAGATATAATTTTGCACCAGCCAGAATGGCTATTATTAGAAAGACAAAAAATAACAGATGTTGGCAAAGATGCAGAGAAAAGGGAACGTTTATACAGTGTTGGTGGAAGTGTAAATTAGTACAACCTCCATGGAAAACAGCATGGAGATTCCTCAAAAAACTGAAAATAAAACTACCATTCGACCCATTAATCCCTCTACTTAGTATCTACCAAAGGAAAAGAAATGCTTGTATCAAAAGTATGCCTACACTTGTATGTTTATTGCAGCACTATTCACAATAGCAAAGATATAAAATCAGCCTAAGTGTCCATTAATGGATGCTTGGATAAAGCAGATGTGGCACATATACATAATAGAATATTAGTCAGCCATGAAAAAGAATAAAATCATGTCTTTTGCAGGAACATAGATGAAACTGGAGGTCATTATCTTAAGTAAAAGAATTCAGACACCAGAAAAACAAATACTGCATATTCTCAGTGATAAGTAGGAGTTAAACATGTAACACATGGATATCGAGTGTAGAATGACAGATAGTGGAGACTTGGAAGGGTAGGGGTGCAGGAGGAGGGTGGGTAATGAGACATTCCTTCATGGGTACAATGTTGGTTTTTCAGGTGATGGATATACTAAAAGCCTTGGCTTCACCATTATGTAATCTATCCATGTTACACATTTCCACTTGTACCTCATGAATGCATACAAATACAACATTTTAAAAAATATGGGATGTTTTACATGAAACTCCAGAATTTTGAATTCACTTTAAAAATTACAAAATCTGGAAACACGGCATAGCCACAGTGAGCAGAAACTGGTGGTGGTTGCCCTCTTTAAATAGAATGAGTGTGGTCCAGTTGTCCCGGGTTCCACCACTCCTTACTGGTTACATCAGATCGGCTTTACTCATTCATGTTACCTAAAACATCCCTGTAGGTAATTGAGTCTGAACCCCTACTTTAAAGGACTTTCACTCCTTTGGTCTGTGGTTTAAGGCCATCCGGGCAAAAGCTTTGTTAGCTACTCACTCCCTGGATTGCTCTAGACTACATCACCAAATCATCAATTGTTGGTTCTTTGTGGATTCCACCCATTGGCTCTGTAGGAATCTCCAACTGTCCCACTCTTTGAACTGATGTTTTAAACATCCCACTTCAAAATGTGAGGCACTATTAAGGTTTTGCGTGCATGAGACTATAAATTAATATACTAATGTTGTAATAGATTTGGAAAATACAGAATAATGTAAAGCAATGAGAATCAATCATTATTTCACCACTCATATAAGCCTATTAATACTTATGAATGTGTATATTAATAACATACTGGATTTATTGGGCACTTACAATATGTTAAGCTCTATTTTAAGTGCTGTACATACATTATTTTATTCGATTCTCCAAACATCCTTACGAGGTAGATATTATTCTTATCTTCCTTTCACAAATGACAAAGTTGAGTCATAAAGAAGTTTAATACACACAACTAAGGACACACAACTAATACATGTTGAAGTCTTGCTTTAAATCAAGCAGTCTGGCTCTAGGATGCACATTCTTGTAAATGACACCACACTACTCGGTATGTGCGTGCATGCCTATTTCATTTATAGTTTACTGGAGATTGCATCAACCACTCTGGGAAATAGTGCAATGAAAATCCCCTGCTGAGTTTTTAAGGAACTCACTGAAATGACCCAAGTAAGCCCTAGTATTTGGGAGTAGTTCCCCTTATTTTTCTGTTTCAATTGCTATTCCCTCTTAGCTTCCTCCTAGGCAACCAGAATCCTTGTCTGGTTGACTCAAGGGGTCAAGACATTGGCAAGGCATGTCTTTCTACATTTGGTGTTGCTTATTAATAATGTGAAGCTGATACTTTTTGAATTTTTTTTATTGTACTTTAAGTTCTAGGATTCATGTGCTGAACGTGCAGGTTTGTTACATAGGTATACATGTGCCGTGGTGGTTTGCTGCACCCATAAACCTGTCATCTACATTGGGTATTTGTCCTAATGCTATCCCTCCCCTGGCCCCCCACCCCCTGTCAGGCCCCAGTGTGTGATGTTCCCCTCCCTGTGCCCATGTGTTCTCATTGTTCAGCTCCCACTTATGAGTGAGAACATGCAGTGTTTGGTTTTCTGTTCTTGTGCTAGTTTGCTGAGAATGATGGTTTCCAGCTTCATCCCATGTCCCTGCAAAGGACATAAACTCATCCTTTTTTATGGCTGTGTAGTATTCCATGGTGTATATGTGCCACATTTTCTTTATCCAGTCTATCATTGATGAGCATTTGGGTTGGTTCCAAGTCTTTGCTATTGTGAACTGTACCACAATAAACATACGTGTGCATGTGTCTTTATAGTAGAATGATTTATAATCCTTTGGGTATACACCCAGTAGTGGGATTGCTGGGTCAGATGGTATAGGGTCAGGGGAAAGAAGCAAAGGAAATGAACTTTTATTTCAGAGCTATTGTGTGTCTCGCACTTGACTTTCATGATCTCACAATGCCCTGTGCAAATGGGCATTGTTAATTTCCTTCTTTTTTTTTTTTTTTTTTTTGGTGAGGAAAGAAATACAGAGTCACATGTTCAAGGGCACACAACCAGAAGCAGCGGACTGGAATTCGAATCCATGTGGAGCTAACTTTAGAGTTCATTTTTTTTTCAACTCTTCTGTAACATGCTGTATTAGATAATGTCACTAATTATAATTGAAAACATAGCCATCACATAATTTTGTCAGAAGAATTATGAATAATCTGTTGAGAATGTTCTCTGTCCTTTCTTACGGGCATCACTGGGAGATATGTGTCATCTTGTAAGTTGATTGATTTATGGATACACTCACTTTATGTCACTGAGCTGACCTTCATAAAGCTGGTGTAAGTTAAAGTTTTGAATGTAGAATCACTTGAAAGGGCTTTTTTGTGCACTCAATATAAAGATGGAACCCTAATGTATTGTAAATCAATATAAAGGGGGAACTGTATGTGTATTAGTTTGTTTTGTGTTGCTATGAGGGAATATCTGAGATTGGATAATATAAAGAAAAGAGGTTTACTTTGGCTCACAATTCTCTGGCTGTACAGGAAGCATGGTACAGGAAGCATGCTTCTGGCGAGGGCCTCACAAAGCTTACAGGCCTCAGTGTAAGCTTCTCTCATGCTGTGATAAAGGGAGCAAGAGAGAGGAGGCAGTTCCAGGCTCTTTTAAACAACCATATCTCATATGAGCTCACAGAACAATAACTCACTCATTACCATGAGGAAAACACCAAAACTTTCATGAGAGATCTGCTCCCATGACCCAAACATCTCCCACCAGGCCGCACCTCCAACATTGGAAGTCACATTTCAACATGAGATTTGGAAGGGACAGAACACCCAAACTCTATCAACATGGAATATAACTGCTCTGTCAACCTCTCTTTCACAAAAAATCTGATTTTCTTTACTTTTCTTTTTTTTTTTTTTTGAGACAGGGTCTCGCTCTGTCACCCAGGCTGGAGTGCAGTGGCATGATCTCGGCTCACTGCACCCTCTGCCTCCTGGGTTCCAGCGATTCTCCTGCCTCAGCCTCCCAGGTAGCTGGGATTACAGGCACGTGCCACTATGCCCGGCTAATTTTTGTATTTTTAGTATAGACAGGGTTTCACCATGTTGGTCAAGCTAGTCTTGAACTCCTGACCTCAGGTGATCTGCCCGCCTCGGCCTCCAAAGTGCTAGGATTATAGGCATACACTACCACGCCCAGCCAAAATCTGGTTTTCTTAAAGGGAGGTACCCCTGTTGTGATGATGTATGACTGTACACAACTATAGTTCTAAACCATCTTTGATTTTAAAAATTCTCCCGATTTATTAGAGCAGCATTATAGTACCATTTATGATCTTCTATTACATGATACGTACTTTTGAAGCACAAAGGCAGCAAATAAATGTCTTTTGAATGAGTGAATTTAGTGAGCAAATACTATGTGACAAGAATGAAGGTCTGAAGGGAAGACAGATATGTAAACACACAGATACAATAGTGTGATCAATATAACCAAATAAATGTTCTTCTATTGTCTATCATCCATTTATTCAAAGGCATTTAATATTTAGCTCCAACTATGAGCCATGCTCTAATGTAAAGGCTGGATACACAGTGAAGAGAAAAAGATATATGCCCTCGTTCTCTTGAGCTTATGGTTTTTCCACACATATCTGCATAGGAGGTAGCATATTATGTTGTCCAGGTGCATAGGTACTAGCCCCAAACTGCCTGGGTTCAAGTCCTCCCACTTGCTAGCTCTATGACCTTGGGTAAGTTATTTAACATTTCTGTGACTTAGTTTTCTCTGATGTCTTATGGACCCAAAAACAGTATAATACCTACCTCCTAGAGTTGTTATGAGGATCAAATAAATTAGTATTTGAAAATACTTAGATTAATGACCTTCTCATAGTGAAGGCAAAATGCCATTTGTCAATGAAGCAAGTGGAATGGCATGTAATAAACCTGAATTGTTCTACTTTTGTGAGATCCACATTCCGCCTATACTATCTATTATCTCTAAACGGACACATTTTAAAACTTAAATGTTTATCTATGTACTACCAAACATCACAACTAAGCCTCATTTTGCCAGGCGGGATACATTGTCATAAATCTAATGATGGCACAGGGCACTTCCTCTCTGAAGCCCTCTTTGTCCTCCAGGCAAGATCAGCAATACCATCCTCTGTGCTTTCACATACTTTGTGGCAAGCTCTAGTAAGTGCTCATCAGAATGCCTATAGCTCAGTCCTTACTCTTGGCCAGTTGGCCCATAGGAGGCTGATCCTTTGGTTTGCCCTGCCCATGTGGTTCCAGACCTATAAATATTGGAAATCAGAAAAATTCCACATTGTGGAATTTTTAAGACATAGGGAAAACTTGGAAAAGCTCTTTGCATGAACTGTTCAATAACTGTCAGATATCTTTATAGGAATATCTTTGTGCTGATGTGTCCATCAAGAGAACATACACAGAAGTGACACTTGCCAGGTAAGGAACACACCCACCTGAGATTGAAGGGGCTTTGGAATGAGCATGGGGCAGAGCTAAGGAGGGTGTGTGTCTGGAGTAGGTGGGAATGAAGGGTCATGGAGCTTTGGAATAAGCATTGGGCAGAGCTAAGGAGGGTGTATGTCTGGAGTAGGTGGGAATGAAGGGTCATGTTCTGAAGCTGTTTCTGACTCCATCTTTATGAGGTAGGAAGGAAAGGAGCAGAAGCTCACGCATTCTGCCCAAATGGCCAAGAGTGGGGGCTGAACTCGAAGCTGTTGCTGCAGAAGAGAGGAAATTAATACCTTTTATCTTGGGAGTCTGGAGGAAGCCATGTTTCTGTTTATTTCAAAGGGTTTAGAAAAGGATTCACCAGGCAAACAGTAATAAAAATTCATCCTAGGTAGAGGGAACAGCATAGAACAAATGCACACAACACCATGAAATATTTGGTTGATTATTGACATTTTGACAGTATTTGAATTTAGCAGGTCACCTGAAGAGTTTCTAGAGAAGAGAATATAGAAGTAAGTAGAGAATTAATCATTAAGGTCCTTGAGGGTCCCAAGATGCTCCTGGTTGTATTAAGAGGTTGAATAAAAATGAAAAATTCCCCATGCTGAACCACTTCTGCTGAGTGCATTCTGAAACAAATTTTTAAAAAATACATTTCTTTTTAATACTTCTGCATTAACCAGTCTGAGGAATCTGGCATTTAAAGACATAAATGTTTCTGAAATACCCCACCACAGCAAAATATCTGAAAATGTTTCTTAATTGTTAGAAAAAAACTATTTCTGTACATGCCTGGAATGAGTTTTTTTAAACACCACCCTTCAACAGACCATCTTTCCGGCCCCAAGTGGCTGAGGATGGTGGTGCTAAGTGGTTTAATAGAGATGCTGTTGTCTCTCTCTTGCATATCACGCCTCCACTTCAATGTATAATTTTACTTTTTTGCTGGGTAAGTGCCCTAAAAGGTTGCTATAGATGTATACCCAACACATGAAAGAGTGTCAGATGATCAGTCAAGCTGCCTCTGTATAACCGGCCTGGCAAAGGCGTTTGAAAATCCTTTTTCCAAAATGTACTTGAATCCATCCCATTTGAATGAGCTCCATGCACATTCACCACAGCCATCACCTTTTCAATCTGCCTCAAGCAAATACATGTCCTTAAACAGCTTCCTCTGGAAAGCAAACTTCCCAAGGGGAAGTGAGAGGAGGGTCATGCTTACTTTACAGTTGAAGGCAAATGGAAATGTATTGGATTCCATTCTGAGCCTTGGACAGTGGGCCTCTCTGCTGCCATACCCCCTCCAAGAAACACCCCCTGCCCTGGCCCTTGGTGTTCACTGACCTTGCCCTTCCTTGAATGCACATATCAATTAGAGTTGGTACTAGGCAGTTTAGTTCTTGGATATCAGCTGTCTTGAAGTTCTCTCTAATTGTCATCATCATTGCTATAGGCATCAATAGTGCTTATAGCTCCAGAACATGCCACACTCTCTCATCCCTCTGGGACTCTGCTACTGCGCCTGCACCCTCTCATCCCTGAGTGCTGCTCCTGCTACTTGGAATGCTCATTCCCTCTCTTTGCTGCTAGACTGTAGTCATCTGTCTGGGTTGCTACAACAAAATGCCGTAGACAGGGTGGCCTAAACAACAGACGTTTATTTTTCACATTTCTACAGAAGAGAAATTTCAAGATTAAGGTGACAAGAGATTCAGTTCAGGTGTCAGTTCTTCTGGAAAGCCTTACCTAATTCCCTCGACATTGGCTGCATTCCCTCTCTGCAAATTCCTCTTATCACAGCTCAATTGAGCTGTGCCACTGCAGACCATTTATTTGCCTCTCTTCCTCACTAGATTGTGAGCCATTTGAGGGTGGAGGCTTGTCCTTCGTTTTTTGAGTATGCAGTGTATGTAGGAGGTAGGAAGTGTTCAAATAACGATTTAATGAAAGTAGGAGCAATTACTTTTAGAAGAAATGCATAATGGATGAACTTATTGTCCACTCTTGGTAACATCCCCAATCACTACACTCTTTGTAGGGCTTTTACTGTTTTCCTAGTTTCCTAGGGAGATAGAATTAGTGATGCTTGATTCCTCCTTGGATGGCTGTTTCTAACCCTTTCCTGGTCAGACCTTATCCAACTCACCCTGTGCCTCTTGTTCCATCTGTGTCAATATGTGTATGTGTAAGTATGTGTGTGTGTTTCTGTAAGTTCTCCATGGGCTATATAGCAGTGGTTCTCAATCCTACTTATACGTTAGAATCACTTCAGAGCTATTATAAAGTTAATGCCGTTAGCAGAACAGATCATGAATGTCAATTTATATTCCAGATACCATGAAAGCAGCTTTCATTTGGGCTTCCTAGTTAACCAACCTCCTAACTAGGGTAGGGGAAGGAAAATAGCTCCGACATCTGTTCAGTGGGACCTCGAATTTTCAGCCAATGTGTTCAATTCAGTCCTTGTTTGATTACCCAAAAAGAGTCATCAGTTTAAGTCAAAGTATATTTCTGAGTTCAGGAAAGCAGATTCTTGGGACAGACTCTCTAAGAGTGACTATTCATTGGGCAGGATGGGAGAAATCCTTTTATTCATCAGTCTCCTACTGTTTGCAACTTCTTGTTTTTTTTCACGTTTTCTAACAATCTTAGATCTCTGGGCAATATGCATGCTTCTGGTGGACAGGGAGGAAACTCACATTGAGATGAAGAGAAGAAAAACACAAGATCAAATGCTTGTGCTCTGTTCACAGCTTTATTCTGGCATATAGTAGCTGCTCAGGAAATATTTGTTGAGTGGTTGAGTGACTAAACATTTTCTCCTTACACTTCTTTCTTTGGCAAAATTTTGTGTTTCTCCCTTCCTCAAGAATATTAAGGTTTGTCTAGGAATCCCCATTAGCCTAGACCAAATATAGGATGGTGGTTCAGGCAGGTTACTGAACCATGGTTTTTAAGCCTGGAAGCAATTTTCTTTGTGGATGGCACTTTCACTAAGTGTGGTTAGTATGTGAGTCTAGACACCTGGTGAGTGCTCACCTCCTTCATTTGGAGCTGCCCATCTGTTTCTGTTTCTCCCATTCTACATTGTAAGCCACATACCCTGATCGCTACGCTCCAACTTCCTAGGGTCTTTACTGTTCTCCTAGTCTCCAAGGGCGATGGAAGAAGTAGTGCTTGATTTCTCCTTGGATGGCTGTTTTTAACCCTTGCCTGCTCAGACCTCATCCTACTCCTCCTGTGCCTCTTTCTCTATCTGTGTCAATATGTGTGTGTATAAGCATGTGTGTGTGTTTCTTTTCTTTCTTTCTTTTTTTTCCTCAGGCAGAGTCCCACTCTGTTGCCCAGGCTGGAGTGTGGCAGCACAATCTTGGCTCACTGAAATCTCTGCCTCCCAGATTCAAACGATTCTCATGCTTCAGCCTCCCAAGTAGCTGAGATTATAGGCACATGCCACCATGCCTGGCTAATTTTTGTATTTCTTTTTTCTTTTCTTTTTTTTCTTTTTGAGACAGAGTCTCACTCTGACCCAGGCTGGAGTGCAGTGGCGTGATCTCGGCTCACTGCAACCTCCACCTCCCTGGTTCAAGCTATTCCAGTGGCGTGATCTCGGCTCACTGCAACCTCTGCCTCCCTGACTCAAGCGATTCCCCTGCCTCAGCCTCCCGAGTAGCCAGGACTGCAGGTGCATGCCACCATGCCCAGCTAATTTTTTTGTATTTTTCGTAGAGATGGGGTTTCACCGTGTTAGCCAGGATGGTCTCGATCTTCTGACCTCATGATCTGCCCGCCTAGGCCTCCCAAAGTGCTGAGATTACAGGTGTGAGCCACTGCGCCCAGCCTAATTTTTGTATTTTTAATAGAGATGAGGTTTCGCCATGTTGTTCAGGCCGGTCTCGAACTCCTGGCCTCAAATTATCTGCCTGCCTCAGCCTCCAAAAGTGCTGTGATTACAGGCATGAGCCACTGTGCCTGGCCAGAGTATGTGTGTGTGTTTCTTTAAGTTCTCCATTGGCTATAGTGGTGGTTTTCCTGCCACTGGCTGTATTTTCTTATCTAGTATTCCCTAGCAATCCTTGGTTCCCTTCTTGCAGGCTCTACTACCATAGTCTGCTATTGTATACTTGCTTATTCAAATCTGTTACATCACACAACATTAGTTTGAATTTGCAAAGATTTTTTTCTCTTTCTTTCTTTCTTTTTTTTTTTTTGAGACAGTGTCTTTCTCTGTCCCCCAGGCTGGAGTGCAGTGGCATGATCTGGGCTCACTGCAACCTCCGCCTCCCAGGTTCAAGCAATTTTCCTTCCTCAGCCTCCCGAGTAGCTGGAATTACAGGCACACACCATCATGCTCAGCTAATTTTTGTATTTTTTGTAGAGACGGGATTTCACCATGTTGGTCAGGCTGGTCTCGAACTCCTGACCTTGTGATCTGCCCACCTTGGCCTCCCAAAGTCCTGGGATTACAGGCGTGAGCCCTGGCACTCAGCTGCCTCCGTTTTTTATGAGTGGATATGTGTGCTGGAGTCTGTGATCTTGGTTATTTGCTTCTGTATTTGCTTTGCTCCATCCTTAGACTTCTGCTTCTCTGCAGAAGTTTCCCTTGGAAACTCTGAGTCCTCTTACTGGAGCATGTAGGTATTAATGGTCCCTTGGCCACAGATGCAGCCCACAGGAGCCCAGAGCGCTACCTCCAGCTCATCCATTGATACACTCCCATAGCAAGGTTGGCACCTTTGTCTCTCTCTGTGCCACTTAGGCATGACCCTAAGGCTAAAATCTGGGGCAGCTGATGCATCTCCCACCACATTTTCCTTCCACTCTTCATTAGAGAAGACATTTGTTTTCTCACCTCCCACATAGTCTGCATCTTTTTTTATTATTATTATTTTATTTATTATTATTATTTTTTTTAGACAGTGTCTTACTCTGTTGCCCAGGCTGGAGTGCAGTGGTGCCATCTTGGCTCACTGCAACCTCCATCTCTTGGGTTCAAGTGATTCTCCTACCTCAGCCTCCTGAGTAGCTAGGATTACAGGTGCGCACCACCATGCCTGGCTAATTTTTTTTTTTTTTTGGTATTTTTTGATACAGATGGGGTTTCACCATGTTGGCCAGGCTGGTCTTGAACTCCTGACGTCAAGTGATCCACTCGCCTCAGCCTCCCAAAGTGCTGGGATTACAGGCGTGAGCCACTGCACCTGGTCAATCTGCATCTCACTCTTATCTGTCTTTACCACTCTACTAAAATATCTCATGAGAAGATCTCTTAAGATGGGGACATTACTAAATTCAGTGGACGCTTTTCCACATTGATTTTGCTTGATCTTGTAGCAGTTGTCATTATTCTTTGTTTTTTTTTTTTGAGACGGAGTCTTGCTCTGTTGCCCAGGCTGGGGTGCAGTGGCGCGATCTCGGCTCACTGCAAGCTCCGCCTCCCGGGTTCACGCCATTCTCCTGCCTCAGCCTCCCGAGTAGCTGGGACTACAGGCACCCGCCACCATGCCCTGCTAATTTTTTGTATTTTTAGTAGAGATGGGGTTTCACCGTGTTAGCCAGGATGGTCTCAATCTCCTAACCTCATGATCCGCCCACCTCGGCCTCCCAAAGTGCTGGGATTACAGGCATGAGCCATCATGCCTGGCCTTCAATACAAGTTTACAAAAACTAGTTGTGAGTGGATTTTTTTTTTTTTTTTTTTTTTGGATGTAGATAAAGAATGTGAGTTTTTGACCAAGGAGATTTGCGCTTGAAAAGAAGTTCTTCGTGGGGATGCAGGAATCCCAACCACAAAGAGTTTGCAGAAAGTTCATGGTGTTTTAGGGCTTCTCTAGGCCCCAAAAGTGGGAAGTTGGGGCAATCATACCTAGATATCAAATACTAGAGATTTAACTTCCCCGGAGTTTTAACCATATAATATTGGGTGAGGCTTGAGGAGGCCAGACACAGATGAGGAGAGATAAACTGGAAAGGGTTTTACAGTTTTGTCATGCGAAGTTCCCTGCAGAGACAGCACCCATGCAGGGGAAGCAATGGGGTGGTCCTGAGGCAGAGGGAGGGAGGGAAATCCCAGGCAAGAGCCTTTCTCGTGGCTTCCGTGGGAAGGAATGAGCAGGGCAGGGCAAGTAGGCTAGGGCTGACTAATTTAAATAATTCCAGTGGGTTCTGGGGCATAGAGGCTGTCCTTGGTTGTCTGATCCCTGACCCTAGGATGATTAGGGTGGGTGTATAGTGGCCCAGAATGTGACCTCTAAAAGGGAGATGGTTGGGGTGTGGACTAAAGCAGCTACTCAAGAAGGAGGAACTGACTGGCCTCCAGCTAGGGCCTCAAAAGTAGATCAAGGCAGCATTTTAACACTACATTATTCCTACCTAATTCCCCACTCCTCTGAAGTATGGACTCTGGCAGGGTAGTGATGGTTTCTCTCCAGTTCATTGGTGTAGTGTTAGGACCTAGAATAGTACTTTCCTCGATAGTATTTCCTGGGTAAGTGCTCAGTTAATAATTGTCGAAAGAAAGAATGTATATAATTTCTTCAAAAAAATTGAATGAATACAAGGAGAAAATTTATAGATATGTTAAGAGACCCATTGGAAAATCTCCAGTAAGCTCAGGTTTTTGGAAGATGGTGGCCAGATTCAAAAGTGGAGTTTTCAATGTGAGAGAAAAGTTCACAACAAGCGTATCCTTACATATCCTGAACCATACAAAAATGATGCTGCCAGCATTACATGAAGCAAGGCAAAGGAAAAAGAGAAGCCCACTATTTGAGGAATAAAAAAATGATGTCATCTCACATGTTAGAAATAAACTTCAGGACGATGCAATTCTGAATTGTCTCCATCCATATCCACGTGGGAAATATGATTTATTATGGACATCTAATTTTTGCTCCTCTAATTTTGTATCCATTCCTCCTTCCTTTGGTGTTAACAACAGAATCTTCAGGGGACCACTCATTCTCTCCTCTTCAGTCATGAGGCTCTACAGGTGACTTCAGCTCATGCTCAGATCTGACCCATCAGAATCAAGTGAATAGTCTGAGATCAGATTTATGATGCGGACAAAGCTGATGAGAATACGCCCTGTAGTTCTGCTGGAACATTGGGAAAAAGAAGTCCTCTTTCTGCTGGAGCTTCAAGCTCATAGAATGAAGACGGCGTGCTGGGGACCATCTTGTAACCATCAAAGGCAAGCCCATGTGAGACTGAAGCCAGTAGAGAGGAAAACAGAACCAAAAGATGGAGACAGATGTTGGACAGTTCTCCTGGAGTACCTTAGGCTTTTATTTACATTAGTCCATAAAATCCTTTTGTTTTCTAGTTGGGGTTTGAAACTGGGTTTCTTTAGCTTTTAAATGAAAGGGGTTCTGCCTAATTCAAGATATGAACGGACAAAGGTGAATAAGCAGCGTGGAGGTAGAATGCAGCCCCGTACAGGTGAGATCACAGGTGGCATCGGAGAGGAAGGGGGAAGACGGTTGCTCCAAATGAGGTGACAACCCGAGTCCTCAAAGATTGCATCCCAGGGTGCTAGAAGGAATGTCAGATGGTCTCAGAGCCAAAGTCAGTGATCCTAGAAATCAAGACGTCAAGGAATGTAAGAACAAACATCGGCATGTTTTGTCCCCGTTTTTTGTTTTGTTTTGTTTTGTTTTGTTTGTTTTTTGAGATGGAGTCTCGCACTGTCACTGGGGAGGAAGTGAGATGGCGCCATCTCGGCTCGCTGCAACGTCCGCCTCCCAGGTTCACGCGATTCTCCTGCCTCAGCCTCCTGAGTCGCTGGGACTACAGGCGCACACTACCACATCCGGCTAACTTTTTGTAATTTTAGTAGAGACAGGTTTCAGACGGAGTTTCGGTCTTGTTGCCCAGGCTGGAGTGTAGTGGTGCGATCTCCCTCACTGCAACTTCCACCTCCCAGGTTCAAGCAGTTCTCCTGCCTCAGCCTTCCCAGTAGCTGGAATTACAGGCATGCACCACCACGCCCAGCTAATTTTGTATTTTTAGTAGAGATGGGGTTTCTCCATGTTGGCCAGGCTGGTCTTGAACTCCTGACCTCAGGTGATCCACCCGCCTCAGCCTCCCAAAGTGCTGGGGTTACAGCGTGAGCCGCCCCACCCAGCCGTGCCCCCATTTATAATAAAGTGTAACCTGAACACTATAACACACTGAACTGAACTTTAATTCCATGGAGTTCCAACACAGCAAAGAGATGGTTTATGGACATTTGAGAAAAACAAATCACTTGCAGCTAACATATATACTCACTTGCTAAACTCACAACTTTGCTTTAAAAGTAAAGTTTTGTGATTGGCAGATAATGAAATGCCTAAGATATAATAACTATAATAATGATAATAATGATAATAATGACACTTCCTGAAGACAGGCCCCTTATGCATCTTATTCATAGCTCCGTCCCTTCACCTAGAACAGTGGCTAACACACAATAGGTGATCAATACATATTTCTCGAATAAATGAACAACAAGGCTCGTATTTATTGAACACTATGTGCCAGAGAAAGACATGGAAATAAAATTTATTAAAATTACAGATAATGATTATAATAACAACACTTACAGAACAAACTGTGTGGCAGGAATCAATTTAAAGTATTTTACATATATTACATCTATTAACTTCATTAAATACTACAGACTGAATTGGATCTCCCTCAAAAAAAATCATATGTTGAAACCTGAACCCTCAGTATCTTAGAACGTAACTATATTTGGAGCTAGATAGGGCCTTTAAAGAGGTGATTAAGTTAAAATGAGGTCATTAGGGCAGGCTCTAATCTATGACTAGTATCCTTATAAGAAGAAGAGATGAGGTCTGGGCATAGTGGCTCATGCCTGTAATCCCAGCACTGCAGGAGGCTGAGGCAGGAGGATCCCTTGAGGTCAGGAATTTGAGACCAGCCAGGGCAACATAGAAAGATGCCTGTGTCTACAAAAAACATTTTTAAAAAGTTAGCCATGTGTGGCTGTATGCACCTCTAGTCCCAGCTACTCAGGAGGCTGAAGTGGGAATATTGCTTGAGCCTAGGAGTTTGAGGCTGCAGTGAGCCATGATCGCCACTGCACCCCAGCCTGGATGACAGAGTGATTCTGTCAAAGAAAAGAAGCAAGAGATGATTAGGACTCAGACACACACAGAAGGATGGCTATATGGGAACGCAGGGAGAAGATGGCTATCCTTAAGCCAAGGAGAAAGGCCTTAGAAGAAACCAATTTTGCTGACACTTTGATCTAAGACTTCCAGCCTCCAGAATTATAAGGAAATAAATTTCTGTTTTGTAAGTCACTCAGTCTAGGCCACGTGTGGTGGCTCACACTTGTAATCCTAGCACTTTGGGAGGCCAAGGTGGGTAGATCACTTGAGGTCAGGAGGTCGAGACCAGCTTGGCCAACATGGTAAAACCCTGTCTCTACTAAAAAAAACAAAAATTAGCCTAATGTGGTGGCATGCACCTATAATTCCTGCTGCTAGGGAGGCTGAGGCAGGAGAATCTCTTGAACCTGGGAAGTGGAGGTTGCAGTGAGCCAAGATTGCACCACTGCACTCCAGCCTGGGAAACAGAGTGAGACTCTGTCTCAAAAAAAAAAAAAAAAAAAAAAAAAAAAAAAAGTTACTCAGTTTATGGCACTATGTTATGGCAACCTTAACAAACTAATCCATTACTCTTGTAATAACCAGGTAGTCTGACTTCAGGGTTCATACTCCTAACCACTGTGTTACACTGGCTTGCACACAACAATGGCTAACGTTATTGGCCACTTGCCAATAGCTGCTCAGTAGCAAGGTGGCTGCCTAAAATGAAACCTTCTGTAGTGCCTCATGCCTTTGTCAGTTTCCTTCAGCATTTTGTTCCCACTTTTATTACTTATTCTTCTATGTCTTGCTTGTTTTACCCAGGTGCGGTGTGCTTGCCCTTGGTCTGTGGTACTTGGGAAGAGACCCACAGGTTGCTAACTGAGATCTCATAGAATCTCATGGGATCTACCATCCTTTTCCATATAATACGATCATTTGGTCAACTAAATACCAGAGAAGTGTAAAGCAAAGATCGTTTATTCATTCAACAGACTGACTTGCTCAGTTCTTTTTATCTGCCAGACTGATCACACACTGAGGCTGGAGAAGTGAATTATCTGTCAGCTATGGCATGCAGCTCTGCCATCTTCTTGCTGTGAAATGAAGTTGATATTCTTCTACAGAGGGCCGTTGTGAGGATTATTAAATAAGATGGTTTATGCAAAGTGCTCAACACAATGCTAGTGACGGAGATGGCCTTAACTTTCCTCTAGGCTTGACTTGACTTTAGACAGACTTCTTTCTCACTTGGGGTCCTTCTCTTCCCTTTTTAGAGCATTTACTTTAGAAAATCATAATTGTGAATTCTTTCTCTGCCCCTTTGAGATGTAAATCTTTTTATTTTTATTTTTGAGATGAGGTTTCCCTCTTGTCGCCCACGCTGGAGTGCAGTGGTGTGATCTTGGCTCATCACAACCTCTGCCTCCTGGGTTCAAGAGATTCTTCTGCCTCAGCTTCCCGGGTAGCTGGGATTGCAGGTACCCACCACCACACCCGGCTAATTTTTTGTATTTTTAGTAGACACAGGGTTTCATCATGTTGGCCAGGCTGGTCTTGAACCTCTGACCTCAGGTGATCCACCCACCTTGGCCTCCCAAAGTGCTGGGATTAGAGGCATGAGCCACTGTGCCCGACCATAAATCTTTTAGATCGCACCGCTGCACTCCAGCCTGGGTGACAGAGCAGGACACCATCTCAAAAGAAAAAAAAAAATTCTCATATTGTTAATGAATTTGTGTTATGTGGCTCAATTATATTAATAACAATTGAATTTCAAATAAAAAAAATTCTCTTGCCAGTGGACAACCCAAGAATGTCTTTCTCTAGGACCTGGTAACCATCCTTTTGAAATGTAATCATCATGGAAGAGAATCCCTCTACCTATGGGAGGGTAGGAGCCTAACTTTCAGTGGGCACCTTGCTCTGTGTTGTAAAATTTCTTCCTGTCAAGAAGATGCAAGAAAGCTTATTTTCCTTTGGGTAAGGCCAATTAGCAAGCACAGGTCACCTATGGTCCAACTCACCCTGGCTCTTAAAAACTCCCCCACCTTCAAAAGAAGACATTCATGCAGCCAACAAACATGGAAAAAAAAAAGCTCATTATTAATGATCATTAGAGAAATGCAAATCAAAACCACAATAAGATACCATCTCATGCCAGTTAGAATGGCCATTATTAAAAAGTCAAGAAACAACAGATGGTTGCAGAGAAATAGGAACACTTTTACACTGTTGGTGGGAATGTAAATTAGTTCAACCACTGTGGAAGATGGTATGGTGATTCCTCAAAGATCTTGAACCAGAAATACCATCTGACCCAACAATTCCATTACTTGGGTATATACCCAAAGGAATATAAATCGTTCTATTACAAAATACACGCATGCGTATGTTCATTGCAGCACTATTCACAATAATAAAGACATGGAATCAACCCAGTTGCCCATCAACAATAGATCAGATAAAAAAAATGTGGTACATATATACCATGGAATACTATGCAGCCATAAAAAAGAACGAGATCATGCCCTTTGCAGGGACATGGTTGGAGCTGGAAACCATTATCCTCAGCAAACTAATGCAGCAACAGAAACAACACTGCATGTTCTCACTTGTAAGTTGGGGTTGAAAAATGAGAACATACGGACACAGGGAGGGGAACAACACACACTGGGGCCTGTTGGGGGGTGGGGTAGGGGGAGAGAGAGCATTAGGAAAAATTGCTAATGCATGCAGGGCTTAATACCTAGGTGATGGGTTGATAGGTGCAGCAAGCCACTATGGCACATGTTTACATATGTAACAAACTGGTACATCCTGCCCATGTACCCCAGAACCTAGAACAAAACAAAGCAAAACAACCTCTTCTACCCTTTTGGTTCAGTGCAGTTGACTTCAGATTGAGTTCTGGCCTCTCTTCCCAATTGCAATACCCTTGACTAAAGCCTGCCTTGCTGTTTTTTTTTGTTTTTGTTTTTTTCAAAATATTGATATACCTAGTTGAATTTCTTCTTTTCTGTTTTGTTCCAGTTTTCTGGAACAGGCACTGCAAATGAATTACTTGGAAAATATCACACAGTTAACATTGACCATAGAAGCCATGTTGCATGTCAATAACAGTGCAGATGCTTCTGAAATGCCAGGTGTTTCCCCATCCACATTTTATTTATTTTATTATTATTATTTTAAATTTATTTTTCCACAATTTATTGGGGTACAGGTGGTATTCGTTACATGAGTAAGTTCTTTAGTGGAGATTTGTGAGAACCTGGTGCACCCATCATCCGAGTAATATACACTGCCCCATATTTATTGTCTTTTATCTCTCACTCCCCTCCCACTCTTTCCCTCAAGTCCCCAAAGTCCAGTGTATCATTTTTATGCCTTTGTGTCCTCAAAGATTAGCTCCTACATATCAGTGAGGACATACGATTTTTGGTTTTCCATTTCTAGTTACTGCCTTGCTGTTGAACTTTACTCAGTGCACTTTTAAATTTTGACACCAGGTATACAGTAAGTGTTCAATAAATATTATGCAGTAAGTCTATTATTATGCTGCGCTTTCTGACCTCAAGAACCCCTTATGGTCTTCCGGTGAACGGTGTGTGACATGACCAAGGTAGGGCCTGACACCAAGTTAGGGCTCATTAATGGTTAATCACCTCTGATTTCTCCATTATTGTGTGCAGGATGTGTGTAAATCATGAGCATGTAGAGGTGTGTAAGAAGTAATCATTGCCCCCCCCATGACCTTATAGTCACAAAGTCTGTCATATAACAAGCATTCTATGATCATGTGGCAAGATTTTAGAAGAGGTTGTGCAATCAGCTAGGGAGTACACAGGCAGTGACAAAGCTCAGCCTGGTGACTGGGGAAGACTTCATTTTACCAAAGAGGGACCAGCAGGAAGAGGAAGAGGGAAGACACAGGGTCAGAAAAGCATGTGACATGTTGGAAAGCAGGGAGCCGTTTCCTGTAGCTGGGGTTCAGTGTATAGAATTTGGACTGGGGGCCAGGCGCGGTGGCTCATGCCTGTAATCCCAGCACTTTGGGAGGCCGAGGCAGGTAGGTCACCTGAGGTCATGAGTTCAAGACCAGCCTGACCAACATGGCAAAACCCCCGTCTCTACTAAAAACACAAAATTAGCCGGGCATGGGAGGTGCATGTAATCCCAGCTACTTGGGAGGCTGAGGCAGGAGAATCACTTGAACCCAGGAGGCAGAGGTTGCAGTGAGCCAAGATCACGAGACTCCGTCTCAGAAACAAACAAACAAACAAAAATTGGATCAGGGAAGTGGGAAGAGATGAAGCTGGAAACATAAATTGAAGCCTGATTGGTGAGGTCATTTTATGGCCACAGCATTCGCAGTTGATAAGCAGGCATGTTGCATGGAAGGCTTTTAAGTAATAGGTGCTATAGCCAGTGTTTGATTTAAAGAGGTCAATGCTGATAGTGTGTAGGTTAGATTGAAATGTACAGGGTTTTCATCAGGAACAGGAAGGTTAGCCAGGGGGTTTATTGGAATTGTTTGGATAAATGATGATGCAGGACTCAACAGTGGCCGTGGAGGTGGGGAGGGATGTGGGGAATTTATAAGAGAATGGCAGGGAAGAAAGTGGAGTGTAAGCTAGAGGAAGGGATCATGCGAGGTTAGAAAATGGCATAGATCACAGTAACATTAACCAGAGCAGAGAGTGCAGGAGGAGAGGCTGCATTGGAGGCAGAAGGGAGGCAGGGAGAGAGACGATGGATTCAGCTTTGGACTTACTGCATTTGAGGGGTTTGCAGTATATCAAGGTGGAGTTGACAATTAGACCTTTACATTTGAGTCTGGAGCCTAAGAGAGAGTTTAGAGATAAAGGCCTGGGATTGGTTGGCGTTTAGGTTACCACTGAAATTCCAGGCACGATTGAGTTCTCCAGGGGGAGTATGATGAGAATAAAAGAAAAGAAAATATAAAGGGGCTAAGATAGGTGGACACAAAGAATCTAAGTTTATGAGTCTATCTCCCCATAATTGGAAACACTACTCATAAGAACCATTCTTCCGAAAGAAATTGGCACAGTTAAATGGGACCAAAAGAGACCACGCCCTTTTAGGGAGTCCCGTTAGACTACAAACTCCTTGAGGTCAGCCAGCACATCTGCCTCAGTGCATAGCCCAGTGTTTGGCACATAAGCATCCCTCCTCTGTGTTATGAATGAATGAGGATTCATTGTAGTTGGCATACAGAAGACCAAGAGACACCTGAAGGCTGTCCTGAAAGGTTTGAAGAGCCAAGTGGACACCACAAGGTCTCACTGGTTTGAAAGTTCACAATTATGGCGTGGACATTATAAAAAAAGTCAATTTCAGCTGTTACATCAAAGAAGAGCTTTCTGAAAAATGAAGGATTGAGGACCGGGCGCGGTGGCTCACACCTGTAATCCCAGCACTTTGGGAGGCCGAGGTGGGTGGATTGCCTGAGGTCAGGAGTTTGAGAGCAGCCTGACCAATATGGTGAAACCCAGTCTCTACTAAAAATACAAAAATTAGCCAGGTGTGGTGGCATGTGCCTGCAGTCCCAGCTATTCAGGAGGCTGAGGCAGGAGAATTGCTTGAACCTGAGAGGCAGAGGTTGCAGTGAGCTGGAGTCGTGCCACTGCACTCCAGCCTGGGCAACAAAGAGACACTTCATCTCAAAAATAAATAAATAAATAAATAAATAAATAAATAAATAAATAAAGGATTGAACAGTGAGTCATGAGTTTTATGTCCCCAGAGGCCATTAAGCCTGAGGCTGGGGTGGTCTTCAGGGATGCTGGAGAAAGGATTCCCTATTGCCTGAGGGTTGGAGGTAAACCCCTCTGAGATCCTTTCTGCCCTGAATTGAGACCTAACTTGCAGGATTAATGGAAAAAACTTGTTTATTAGAATGAAGTTCATCAACATTCAAATACCAGGTTGGTGGCTTTTTAGCTGTGTAATCTTGGACAAATTATTCACTCTTCCTGAGTTCCAAGTCTTCATTAATACCATGGGCTTATGATGCCTATAGTAAAGGTTAGGATTAGGGTTTGCTACTTATCATAGAAAAGCTCAGATACCACTGACTTGAATGAAATAGAAATGCGGTTTTTATTTCTCCCAGAAATGTAGTGTGTAGGTAGGGATTCTAGGGCTAGTGTGCAAGTTTCTTTTATTTTTCTGCCCCACCATCCTCATGTTCATCCATCCTCATGTTCACCTCAAGATTCAAGCTACCTTTAAGGACCATCCCTACCCCCACCTCCACATTCTAGGTTGCAGGAACTGTGTGGGTGGGGTGGGGGAAAGGACAAATATAGGCTAGTTTTCCTGCTGAACCAGTTTCCTTCTGCTTTTATCTAATTGGCCACAGCTTAGTCTCATGGCCACAACTGACTGCCAGGGAGTCCGAGAAATGTTCTCTTTGCTCCTCCTTCCCCAAGCAATTATGACTCTATCACTAAAAAAGAAGGTAGAATGGATACATGAAAAATAAAGTAGAGGTTCCTCTTCAAAGACTTTCCTCCCAGTCTAATTAGGAATAAATAGCAACTTCTCTTAAAAGCAAAATTTATTCAAAGACCTGTGCTAATATTCTTAAATATCTGCTAGCCATAATAAAGAAATCGATGTGCTTTATGTTCTTAGCTCCCACAATTTAGCCTAAATATTTGCCCTGGCATGCTTATACTAGTCCAAGCAAGCATTAAGTCATAGCCTGTTCCTCTTCCTTATCTGAAGGTGTTTTTACCTTTCTCAGCATTCCACAAGTTACTTCCTCCTTCCTTTGTTCTCCCCTGCCTTTGCCTCTTTTAAAAAGTTCTAAGTTGCTAGCCAATCAAGGCAAATACAGAATGTGAGGTCCCATTCCAGCCAGTAGAAACCGGACACAGCAGTAAGGTGGAAGCGTCAGGTTATAAATGACCCTGTCTCCTTTGTTCAGTGTACTCTCATGGCAAAACTGCTGGTGAGTGTACCCTTTCTGCAGAAAGTATAAAAATAGCTTTGCTGAGATTTATGTTCAAGTGCTATTTCTTTACAGCACTGAAGAACAAGCGTTTCAAACAGATATCACGGCACAATTGCCACTGTCTGCTCTTCCCCCTGGCAGAGTTCCATGTGGGTGAAAGAGATAATCCAGTATATATCAAATGCCTGAGCATAGTAGATGCTAACTAAATTGTCATTCTATTCTTATTCTACAGTAATTTGCAAGCAGATGGAACTTCAATATGGCAATAGAGAAAGAATCAATTAGACCAGAGTCTCCTCAGGAAGACTTTCTATAGGTAAGATAGAAAAAAGAATTGTAGTTTCCATTAATTGGCAATAGTAGGAAGAGTATTACAGAATAGGGGAAAATAGGAGGATAATTGTAATGCCCATTTGCTGAGGTTATGTGCCAGCCACTGTGCTTAGTACTTGGCCAGTGTTGTTCTCATTGAATTCTCATAACCACCTTACGAGATAAATACTATATTTGACCCTGTTTTACAAAGGAAGAAAATGAGGCTTTGAGCAGTTCACTGACTTGCCTGTGTTCAGGTAACTACTAAATGTTCAATCCAGAATTCATACTCAAAGATGTCAGGTTTTGAAGCCTGTAGTTCTAACCATGAGGCTGTATTACCACCACCATTCATTAATTCCTGCAAGCATTCATTCATGCAATGCATATTTGTTGAATTTCTACTCTATGCCAGGCATTGTTTGGAGCCTGGGGATACAGAGGGGTACAATACAGACAGTGTGTCTGTTTCAACAAATTTATATGCTGGTGGTGGAAATAAGTAAGTAGAAATAAGTAAGTAGAACCCTAAGTGAACAAAATAATTGCAGACACTGATAGATGTCATGGAGGAAATAGAACAAATAAAAGACTTGGCTGGTGGAAGAGGCTACTTTCAACAGGGTCCAGGAAGACTTCTCTGAGCTGGGGACTGGATGGTAAGAACCAAACAAGTGGCCAGGCACAGTGGCTCACGCCTGTAATCCCAGCACTTTGGGAAGCCAAGGCAGGCGGATCACCTGAGGTCAGGAGTTCAAGACCAGCCTGGTCAACATGGTGAAACCCGTCTCTATGAAAAAAAAAAAAAAAAAATTAGCCGAGTGTGGTGGTGGGTGCCTGTAATCCCAGCTACTCGGGAGGGTGAAGCAGGAAAATCGTCTGAACCTGGGAGGCTGAGGTTGCAGTGAGCCAAGATCATGCCACTGCACTGCAGCCTGGGTGACAGAGCGAAATTCCCTCTAAAAAAAAAAAAAGAAAAGAAAAGAAAAAAGAACCAAACAAGTAATGATTTAGGTCAGGGAGATTCAGATAGAGGGAGTGGCGTGTCCCAAAGGAATGTACCTGGCTTGTTTGAGGAAGGAAAGGAAGACAGCTGGGCCTGGGGCAGGAGAAGGAGCACCTGTGATGGCAGAGCCTTAGCCATTGCAGAAAGAAAGATTCAAGACTCTTCTAATTAGATTCTTTCTGGAAAGAGGGTGCTGGAGAAAAGGACAAGGCACTGTTTTTCTCTCGTGTTTTTAGAGTATTCTCCCTTATCTGTGGCGAATGCATTCTAAGACCCTCAGCAGATGCCTGAAACTGCTGATAATACTGAGCCCTATACATACTGTGCTATGTTTTCCCTGTATATTCATACTTTTGACAAAGTTTTATATATAAACTAGGCACAGTAAGACATTAACAGAAATAACTAATAATTATTAGTAGTGAAGCAAAAATTAAGTAAAATAGGATTACTTGAACACAAGCACTCTAAAACCTCAAGAGTTGAATTGATGACTGAGATGACTACTAAGTGACTCTGGGGCTGGTAACACCTGCAGCGTGGATACGCTGGACAAACGGAGGATCCACATCAGGTTGGGACGGAGTGGCGATTTCTTCATGCTACTCAGAGCAATGTACAATTTAAAACGTACAAACTGTATATTTCGGCCAGGCACGGTGGCTCACACCTGTAATCCCAGCACTTTGGGAGGCCAAGGTGAGTGGATCATGAGGTCAGAAGTTTGAGACCAGCCTGACCAACATGGTGAAACCCCATCTCTACTTAAAAAAAAAATAAAAAGTAGCCGGGCATGGTGGCAGGTGCCGAGATTGCGCCACTGCACTGGAGCCTGAGCGACAGAGCAAGACTCTGTCTCGGAAAAAACAAAAACAACAAAAAAGAAAAAACAAATTGTATATTTCTGGAATTTCCCGTTTAATATTTTCAGTTGACTGGGGGTAACTAAAAACCTCAAAAATCAAAACCACGGATGGATAAGGGGAGACTGCTGTATTTACAATTTTTTTCTTTATTTTTTAGTGTTGGGTATGTCAACCCATGAGACAACCATGATACAAGGAGAGTGACATTTTGTTCTGTTTAGGAGTCCATCTGATTGCATGTGGCCCCATCTGGTTCACTTCAGTGAGAGGGAAGCATGACTATTCCGGGGTGGCCTTTTCCTCTTTCCAGGTTAAACAAGTGTTTGTGGTTGCTGTGGAGCATGTGAGAATGATGGAAGGAGTTCGGCAGTCACCACTGATGATTGAGCACACCCTGCATGCATGGTCCTGTGCAGGATGAAGCTGTCCCTGGTCAGGGAGCTGCAGAACCACAGCTCCTGCAGAATGGGTGAAAGCTGAGCTCATCATATGGAACTGTCCAAGGTACAACACCAGCACGTGGCTGCTTCAGCATCTTATCCTTGAGGAGTAGGCTCTGAAGTTCAAGAAACACAGGGTCAAGGTTTTGCTTAGCAGACTGGCCTTAGACCCTTGGGAATCCCCCAGAGTCTGGAGCCCAGGACAAGAGTGTCTGGTGGGAGAGCAGTGAGGCCCAGGAAGGGAGCCAAAAAATGTCCCTCAGGGCCGGGCGCGGTGGCTCACGCCTGTAATCCCAGCACTTTGGGAGGCCAAGGCAGATGGATCACCTGAGGTCAGGAGGTTGAGACCAGCCTGGCCAACATTGTGAAACCCCGTCTCTACTAAAAATACAAAAAATTTGGTGGGCATGGTGGCGCATGCCTATAATCCCAGCTACTCGGGAGGCTGAGGCAGGAGAATCACTTGAACTCAGGAGGTGGAGGTTGTGGTGAGCCGAAATCGCACCATTGCACTCCAGCCTGAGCAACAAGAGCGAGACTCTGTCTCAAAAAAAAAAAAAAAAAAAAAAATCCTTCGGAAGACCTGAATGAGACCATCTCTACTGCATTTTGTGTAGTCCTGGGTCATGACAGTTGAAAGGTTGCAGAGACAATTGAGAAGAAAAAGTGGGCAAGATTGAAGAATGTGAGCGGTATCGGTCCTGAATGCCAGAAAGGGTAAAGGGACAGAAGTCAGCTGTTCAGGAAGAGGAGCTGACTTTGGATTTCAGTTTCGAGTCCTGGCAAAGCATCCAGGTAACATGATGAATTCTGGAAATGAAGCAGGGCTTACAAATGCACCTTTAGGAATCTCCTGGTGAAAATTTCAGGTCAACAGTAAAGGTTTTTGCAGTCTAGTGAGCCACAGGGGACAATTAAATCAGGTCTCTAAGGTGGTGACCTACTAACCCACACCTCATGCCGGCCTTGAAAACTGTCTGAACAGGGCTAGACTGGGGCAATGGGAGCTGCTACTTTGGGGTTGGGAATGTAGGGGCTGTGAAGGGGCTTGGCTCTCTGAGAGATGCAGGAAAGTCACATCCTCCTCTTTGTGCCGCCTCCTGTGCCGCTGACCCCTCCATCTTTTAGCAAGCCATTTTTCTTAAGTACTAAATGATGGAAGACAGACAATTAAGCCAGAGCCCAAGTACTTCATCTGCTGTTAGTTTCCTTAATTGTATTTCCTACACATTCTTTATAAATAGATTTAAGCAAGACACTATGTTCTTTAAAGTGTGCATTTTTGTTGCTATGGAAACGGTTGCTTTTATTTCCACCCCCCACCCACCCCCCTCCCCAGCCTAGCCATAAAGTGGAAGTTAGCACCTGTTTTTCTAGACAGGTGAATTATCTACTAATCCTTGTCTTTTAAGGAAGTCTTAATGAGCGGGTCAGAATAACCTGCTGATGGTGTCGCTTCAAGAGAAGCATCCAGTGAGCAGCTGTGATTTTCAGAAGACAAAATCCATTATTGCTAACCTTTCATATAAGCGACTCATAGATTCATAGACTGTAGGAACTGGAGAGGAATCTCTAAAGAGATAATTCTCATAACAACAATTTGGAATCACCTTATAGATGCATTCAATGTGTTAATTAGTTTCTAAAGGAACTCTGAAATCAAATCATTTGTTTGAAAACATTTATTGAGCATTAGTACTGAGCTAGAGTAGACACAGGTAATCATCCTGGAACATTGCATTGTGCCTGTCACATGAAAGAGACTCAGCAACTATTTCTCTGTGAATGAATAAAGCTGCCCCCTCCTCCAGGCCGGTGGGAGAGATGGACATTTTACAGGTTATAATGTTCTACGCCATGTGCATGGATATGGCATAGGAGCATACAATAGGTCACATCTCTGACTCCTCTGTTTTTTTGCAAGGATGGGTTGGGCACGGTGGCTCAAGCCTGTAATCCCAGCACTTTGGGAGGCTGATGTGGGCAGATCACCTGAGGTCAGGAGTTCAAGACTAGCCTGGCCAACATGGTGAAACCCCATCTCTACAAAAATACAAAAAAAAAAAAAAAATTAGCCAGGCATGGTGGTGGGCTCCTGTAGTCCCAGCTACTTGGGAGGCTGAGGTGGAGGAATCACTTGAACCTGGGGGGCCGAGGTTGCAGTGAGCCGAGATTGCACCACTGCACTCCAGCCTGGGTGACAGAGCGAGACTCCATCAAAAAAAAAAAAAAAAAAGTGGAGGATTAGAAGAGAAGATATTTGTCAAGATCTTGTGGCTAGTCAGTGTCAGAACCAAGTCTACGACCCAGGTTTCCTGAATCCCAGTCTGATAGCGTTTTCCTACATCACATGGACTTTAAAACAGTGCTTCTGATACATCAATGGCCACAGGGTTGACCTGGGGCTATGGACTGACTCCTTGTGGAAAGGAAAGGATCAAAGCAGCCTCAGGGTCTGGCTAGCAGAACTCATGGGCAGCCCCTTCAGGGGACAACTGTCAGGGCGAACGTTTCCATTTTAAGACCTATGTCGCTCTACTGAAGAGACAGTTTTCCGGGAAAGAGAGCCTCACTGACCTAGCTGAGGTC
The DNA here is from genome assembly GCF_000001405.40 of Homo sapiens. Taxonomy (NCBI): domain Eukaryota; kingdom Metazoa; phylum Chordata; class Mammalia; order Primates; family Hominidae; genus Homo; species Homo sapiens. The sequence goes on from NC_000022.11 coordinate 34,105,342, forward strand.
CAGGGCTGACTCCTCAGCCAGGGGAAGTTTGGGAACTCTGAAGAACAGTTCAGGGTATACTGCGTCCATTGCGGCGGCATAGTTCTAAACGTGAAGCAGAGATGCTTTCACCAGAAGAAGCAGGAATGCACGCCAGACTGTCAGGAGAAACAGGTGTCTGATGAAGAATTTCTCCAGCTAAATGCCCATACATCCACATTCAATTAGCAAGCAGCCCTATGTCTCACCTTATCCATTGCCAACTGCTTGGTCCAGGCTAGCCGTCTCCCGTGGATCACCGCCTTGCTCCCAGTTATCTGCCTGCTCCACGTTGCCCCCTGCAGTCTGTTCTGCACACAACAGTTTGAGAGAGCCCTTTAAAGCACAAGTCAGATCAAGTTACACCTTTACTCACAACCCCTCCGCAGGACTTCTATCATCCTGGCAATTAAATCCAAATGCAAAGTCCACACATTGCTCTGCAAGGAGCTACCTGCCTTTTGCTTAATCTCTCTGCCCTCCTCTCCTGCCGTTCTCTCCGTGGCTGTCTGTACTCCAGCCCCACTGGACTTCTTCCCATTTCCTGCACCTGCCAAAATGTTCTCATCTCAGGGTCTTTGTATTTGCTCTTTTCTGCCTCCTAGTTGCACTGTTTATTCCCTTACTTAATTCGAATTTCCGTTCCTATTCCATCTTCTCAAAGAGAGCTTCCATTTCATGTTGCCTGAAAAAGCTGCCTGCCAGCCTGGACATTCTTTAGCCTCTTAGCTTTATTATTTACAGAAATATATATTCGTTCAGTGTTTCTTTTCTCATTAGAATGTAAGCTACACAGGGTTTCCTTTGTAGCTCAAGAGCCCAGGAAGGAGTTGGCACTAGTAGATATTGTGAGAAGAATGAGTGAGCATACATCTATGTTTAACACACACACGCGCACACACACACACACACACACAGATCTTTTTTCCTATGATTTCAGGTGGTCCAAATAATTATCTTACTCCAAGTAAAACTAAAGTCCTGGCTGGGTGTTTCCAGGTCCTCTGAAGCTTGGGGGTCCCTGCATCTTAGGTTAGAAACCTCTGCTATGATCCAAGTATCTCCAGTGCTGAGCGAAAGGGGTCCCAGTGATTCAGGAACTCCCACCACACTCTTCTTCCTCCCCAAGCTGGCTTTTCAAAGAGCCATTCCATTTTCTACCCTTGAGTGACAGTGACACAACTGGAATTACAGAGGAATTACCATATGAGGTTGGTGCAAAAGTAATAGTAGATTTTGCCTTTAAAATCGATGGCAAAACCACAATTACTTTTGCACCAACCCAATAAAAATAACAAAAATTAACACCTGTCCAAGGCACATAATACAGTATGTTAATTACAAGGAGCCTAGAATATCATTTGCTAAATACAAGGACAGGACAAAATTTCAATTCAATTCAACAAATATTTACCGAGCACTCACCGTGTGTCAGCCCATCTGCTAGGTGCCGGGAGAATGGCAGCAAAGAACAGTAGCACTTACTCAGGGGGCTTACATTCAGGAGGGAGTGGGCAGACAATGCAATAGAATTGGTTATAGGTCTGCTGGAGCATAAATAATAAGGTGACCAAGACAAGAGAGAAAAATAAAATCAGGAAAGGGGAACCGGCAATGTCATTGATGGAGAATCCTTATTCCCTAAATAAGGATTTTAGGGAAGACCTTGCTACTAGAACAAAGGGTTGAAGGAAGTGTGGGAGGATGTGAAGATAATCTTGAGAAAAGCATTCCAGGAAGAAGAAAGAACAAATGCAAAGGCCCTGAGGTGGGAGTCAGATCCACCATAACTAGGAGGTACCTGTGGCAGGGATGGAGGGAGCAGTGGGAGACGAGAAGGAAATATGGTCGGACAAGAAAATGTATGGCTTTGGGTGCCTTTGCAAGGACTTTAGGTTTTTTATTTGTTTGTTTGTTTCTGTTTGTTTTTTTTTTAGATGGAATTTCGTTCTGTCGCCCAGGCTGGAGTGCAATGGCGCGATCTTGGCTCACTGCAACTTTTGCCTCCTGGGTTCAAGCATTTCTCCTCCCTCAGTCTCCAGAGTAGTTGGGACTACAGGCACGCGCCACCACGCCTGGCTAGTTTTTGTATTTCTACTAGAGATGGGGTTTCACCATATTGGTCAGGCTGGTCTTGAACCCCTGGCCTCATGATCCGCCCGCCTCAGCCTTCCAAAGTGCTGGGATTACAGGCGTGAGCCACCGCGCCTGGCCAGGACTTTAGTTTTACTTGGAGTAAGAGAATTCTTTGGACTTCTATGAGCAGAGGCACAACATGTTCTGACTTGTGTTTTGACAGCAGCACCCTGGCTGATGTGTTGAGAGTAAACTGTAGAGAGCAAGCAGGGAAACAGGGAGATCATTAGGAAGATCAATCATCATCAAACAAGCAAAACCCACCTTTATTCTCTTTCCTGCTCTGGTGGGTCTCCCTTGTAGTCAATATCCTGGGAACTCAGAAAGATTTCATTACTGTGGATGAATAAGTTTAGCCTGGGGAAAGAGTTGCCGTTCCCTCTGGGTATGCCCCAAACTTCCCATACAGAGGAAATCAAGACGTGTGCGTTTGTTCCTTCCAGGTGGACGGTCCCCTGGAGAGCCCGCTGTGTTGGAAGATGTAGAATATTCATGTAGGTATACAGCTGGCAAGAGGCTGGGTGATGGGGAAAATGATAAGAAAGGGCACTTAAATCAGGAGCCATCTCACAAGTGGAAATTAGTTAAATTCAGTCAATTGCTGACTGATTTTATGTTACGGAACTCAAATGCTCTGAGGCCCAGTCAATCGAAACCCTGTTTCGAAAATGAGCCAGTTATGGATGGATCTGCTGTTCTATTATTAAAAGAAATGGATCTGTTCAGAGAGTAACATACGTAACACTAAGAGCCCGCTTGGTGGATGAATGCACTTGGTTTTTCTTTATTGCCTGAGACCTGGGATTAAATTCTGGAGAAAGTCAGAGACCTGCAGAATTTTTACTGACAAGGCATCCTAGGTATCACGTGATCACTTCATTTACTAATCCTAAAATTGAGGCTCAGAGAGGGCCAGTAAATTGCTGTGGTGAACCCCCTCCAGATTTTGGTGGCTTCCTGAAATAAAGTGTTATTTCTTGCTCTCATCACAGACCAGTGTGTCTAGGCAGGGGCTCTGTTCCACAGAGTCCCTCAGGAACCCAGGCTCCTTCTACTATACCTCCTGGCTCCTCCCATCTGCAAGTCCTCAGAGACATCTCAGTTTAGCTGGAGAAAAAGTGTAAGGATCATGAGAGGTTTGTGTGGGTCAGACATAGAAGTGGCATGTATCGGCCAAGCATGGTGACTCATGCCTGTAATTCCAGCACTTTGGGAGGCCGGGGTGGGTGGATCACCTGAGGTCAGGAGTTCAAGACCAGCCTGGCCAACATAGTGAAACCCTGTCTCTACTAAAAATACAAAAAAATTAGCCAGGCATGGTGGCAGGTGCCTGTAATCCCAGCTACTCAGGAGGCTGAGGCAGGAGAATCGCTTGAACCCGGGAGGCAGAGGTTGCAGTGAGCCAAGATCACACCATTGCACTCTAGCCTGGTAGACAAGAGCAACACTCCGTGTCACAAAAAAAAAAAAAAAAAAAAGAGAAGTGGCACATATCATTTCTGCTCACATGCTGCTGGCAGAACTCAGTGTCGTGGCCACAAAAGGAAAATATAGTCTAGCTGTGTGTCCCTGAAGAGCACATGGATATTGGTGAGCACTGGCCATACCCACCAGAATTAGTGGGTACCAAGCACTAAGTGATGGTGCCAGGCCAGAGAAATGCCACAACGGACAAGAGGGGATATGCCCAAAGCTTCTTTTGATTCTGTCCTTTCTTCCCTTTTCCCTTTCCCCCTCCCTCCCTCCCTCTCTCCTTCCTTCCTGTCTGTCTCCATCTATCCTTTCCTTCTTCCCCACTCCTTCTGCTTATCACCCCCTTTCTTTTCACAGATATCTGGTGAGCATCTGCTAGATGCCAGGGTTGGGGAGAGTCAAGTTGAAGCAAGCATGAACCCTCAAGGACCTACCATTTCAAGGCAAGAAATAGATACAAATACAGGTATGCACAGCATAATAATATTTCATCAATGACAGGCTGTGTATCTTGATCCCATAAGATCATAATAGTGTGTTTTTACTATCCCCTTTCTATGTTCAGATATAGCTAGATACACAAATACTTACCATCGTCTTACAACTGCCTACAGCATTCAGAGCAGTCACATGCTCTGCAGGTTTGTAGCCTAGCAGCAATAGGCTACAACATATAGCTTTGATGTGTAGTAGGCCAGACCACTTAGGGTTTATGGAAGTGTGCTTTATGAAGCTCGCACAATGATGAAATCTCCTAATGATGCATTTCTCAGAGTGTATCCCCATTGTTAAGGGATGCATGACTGTTCTTAGAGGTGAGGTGGAAGTGACAGATGCCACAGGGTGGCTAGGGTGCTCTGGAGACAGCCGGAGGTGAGGAACAGGAGAGAATGGGTGGACTTCCAACGGCGTCATTCCCTAACTGTGCCTTCTGGACCTGCGTAATCTCTCTGAGCTTATTTCCACACCTGTGCAATACCTGCACACCTGAAGGACAGCGATATCCTTCAGGCAGTGGTGGGATGGAATGAGGATTTCTGAAGATGCTGCTACAGTGTGTTGTTATGCTCCATGCATGTTGGTCCTCTTTTCTTTGGCCAGGAGGAGGGGGAGTTAACTTCCTCCCATTGCAGCAGAGAAGGCTGATGATGCAGGTGGCATCTGAGCTGGATCTTGAAAGATCAACTCTTCACTGTACTGGGATATCTAAGGGTCAGCTCTGGGCTGATTGAAAAATTCTGCATCCACATGACAGTGGCTTGGACCATGGCATGTTAATTTCCTATTGCCGCTGTAATAAGTTGCCGTGAATTTAGTGGCTTAAATAGTACAAATGGATTCTCTTTCAATTCTGGGGGTCAGAAGTCTGAAATGGGTTTTGCTGAGCTAAAGTCAAGGTATTAGCAGGACTGTGTTCCTTCTGGACACTCTGGAGGACAATCCAGTCCCTTGCCCTTTCCAGCTTCTGGAAGCCACCTGAATTTCTTGGCTCCTAATCCAGCCTCAAAACCAGCAGCATGGCCTTGCAATTCTGTCTGACTCTGACCCTCCTGTCTTCCTCTTACAAGGACCCTTGTGATTGTGTTGGGCCTACCTGGATCACCCAGAGTCATCTCATCTCTGTGATGTAAGGTAGCATATTTACAGGTTCTGGGGATCAGAACGTGGACTTCTGGTCGGGTATGGGAGGGCGGTGTTATTCCTTCTACTACACATGGCGAATCTGATTTCACAGAGTTTTCACTCTATTAAATGCCTTGTGCTGACTTGGGTACTGGGAAGAGTATTTCATGCCTTCTTCAGTACTGAAGAATCTGTACTGGGTACCACTTCAATGCCACACAATACAAGTTTACTCCTCTAATTTCCTAGATGCAGGATGGGGAGAGAGAGGCATACAGCTGATGTCTCGCCACCTGCTAATCATCCCTCCCCCAATTAGCTAATCCTGGAAATCCCACACTGTAGATATTTATTTCTTTAATATAAGCCTTTGATTCTTTCAAACAAATGTGTGAGAAAAAAAAAAGGAAATGGAGGAGGGAGAAAGAGAGTAACATTATTTGTTGTTATCAGTTGTTTGAATTTCAGTATGAATTAATTTTTGATTATTTTTGTTGTTGAGAACAAATTTAATGGAGATAAGAAGAGAATAAAAGGACTTTTAGTGTTTAGTTGTGTAGAAGGAATGGAATCCATCAGACAATGTGTTAGGGGTGGGTTTGGGTGGAGGTAAGAGCTGGAGAATGTGATGCTGGAGGCTAAAGATCAAGTAGCTCTTTCAAATGTGGTCTCTACCATCCAGTCTTGGGCTCTGGCTTTTCCAGGCTGTTTTGACTGGCATTTCTCAGTAAGCTCACCTAGAATCATTAAGTTTATCCAGAGTCTGCTGTTTGAATGTGTAAGGTGCCTCTTCTCCGCTGCTATGACCGTCACCATTGGAAGCCCTCTAGTGGACAGGATCTAAACATGCACCCGTGTCTCGGGAGCCATACTCTGGTTGAAAGGGACCTGGAGGGGAGAACCCTCGGGTGTGACCCCTTCCCCTAATATGATTACCCAGGCAAAGGGACCCAAGCCACCTCTCTGCACTCCGGAGATCTCCACGATTCTGCCATCCTTTTTGGCACAACCCCAGGGTTGCATTAATGGAAACAGGACACTTATTATTGAGCTGGTTTTGCAGGGCTTGTGTAATGGAGAGCTGCAAGCTGGAAAATACATTGGATTAAGGACAGCATAGTTTTTCATCAGCACAAAAAGGAGCCATAGGTCAATATAGACTTTCTGCTTCTGTGGAGTTAGCCCTTTAGTGTTCCATGTGGGGTGAGCAGGGCATGCCTTTGGGTGACCAGCAGAAAGCGGCCTAAAAAAGAGAGGTTATCACTGATTCAGCTCCAGACTGCAAAATATGACATCAGGAAGTTGTATTAGATGGCTCAGGCTGCCATAACACAATACTAGACTGGGAGGCTTAAGCAACAGAAATTAATTTTGTCCAAGTTCTGGAGGCTGGGAGTCCAAGTTCAAGGCGTGGCAGCGTGGGTTTCTCCTGAGGCCTTTTCCCATGCCTTGCAGATGGTCACCTTCTCACTGTGTCCTCACATGGCCTTTCCTCTCTGTGCAGGCATTCCTGGTGTCTCTTTCTCTTTTCTTATAAGGACACCAGTCCTACTGAATCAGAGCCTCACTCTTACGACCTAATTTAACCCTAACTACCTCCTAAAGACCTTATTTCCAAATACAGTCACATTGGAGTTAGAAGTCCAATGTGAAAAACATCAATTCTGAGGAGGATACACAATTCAATCTAATAACATGGATGGTATTTCTTGGGGAAAATACATATAACTTGTAGGACAAATGTCTATTCGGGGGAAAAAAAAACAGCTACTGAAGACAAATTTCATTCTGGAAAAAATATCCCATGGAAACATATACTTTCCAGCAAAAAAACACTGGAAAACATATACATCGGAAATTATTTTTATTAAAAATCCCCCCTCCCAAGAAAAAAATATTCTCTAGGGAGAATTTTCGTTATGAAAATGTTCACTGTGAAAATATTTAATAGGAAAAGTATCCATTGGAAAAATCATTGCCAAAAAAGCGAGGGAGGGTGATGACATACTGGAGAAATATTCTTTCTAGGAAAAATGCCTTTCAGGAAAAATTTTACTAGGAGAAATGACGACTCAAAAAAGATGCATGAGGTGGGCGGATCGTGAGGTCAGATCGAGACCATCCTGGCTAACATGGTGAATCCTCGTTTCTACTAAAAATACAACAAAATTAGCCAGGCATGGTGGCGGGCGCCTGTAGTCCCAGCTACTCAGCAGGCTGAGGCAGGAGAATGGTGTGAACCCGGGAGGCAAAGGTTGCAGTGAGCCAAGATCGCGCCACTGCACTGCAGCCTGGGCAACAGAGCGAGACTTTGTCTCAAAAAAAAAAAAAAGAAAAAAGAAAAAAAAGATGCGCAGAGGAAAACGTCTACCAGAAAAAAAAAAAAACTTAGTATGAAAAATACCTATAGAAACATATCCTGAATGGAACAAATACCCACTGGGAAAATATGCATAGAAAAATTATGTTCATCATGAAAACAGCCTTTGACTATGTACCTGTAAAAATGAGGAAACTATCATTTATTTTGTATACACCACGTGTCATGCATTCTTCTCAGAGTTTCCCACCTATTAATTTATTTATTCCTCATGAGAGCTTTATGAGGTAGGCACTATCTATGCTCCAATTTACATATGAAGAAGCTGATGCGCAGCGGTTGGGTAACTTGCCCAAGTTTGCACATGAAGTAAAGGGCAGTCCTGACTTTGAACTCAAACAATGATTCATTCATGCAACATTTATGAAGCACCTACTGTGTGTCAAGCACTGTGTTAGGGAATGAGGTCTAACACTGGCTGAAACATAAGCCTCAGTTTTAAGAAATTAACGTGGGAGACAGATTCATAAGCAGACTATGAAACTATAGGGAAATGAGCCTTTGTACATTCGCCTTCACATTGGTAACTGAAGCAAAATGCTCCCACCAGACTGAAGTTTCTTTGTGCGTTTATGAAAGAAGCTGCTGTCCTGGGTCTGCGGCAAACCACAGCTCCCCTGGGAATAACAGCCTCTGGGAAAACATAAACACTCAGGAGAACCCTCATGAGTGCATTGGGAAACATAATCCCAGGAGAAAGTGTTCATCAAAACATGTACCTGATGGGATACTTATTTGAAACCTAGTCCGGTAGAAAGTCTTCTCTCCTCTTTCCGGTCCAGGTCTTTGCTCTTGGCCACATGAGCTCAACTGAGATGGCCAAGGAATGCAATGGCTTGAGTAGTGAAATGGGCTGCAGGAGCCTTGTTGCAAGGGGGGAATTGGATGAGATCTGGTGGAAGTTCTGAGTTCTCTTAATTTTTAAAAACCATTACTTGCTTATGGTCTAACCCCACTCATATGTTAGCTCCATGAGGTCAGAGCTCCCTGCCCATGTAGTTCATCTGTGCGTCCCCAGTGCTTACAAAAGTTGGTGCTCAATAAATACATAGTTCCAAAAGAGGGGATGTTGATCATAGTTATAGCAGAGATGTTAACTGCATGGATGCTGGAGATGACCTAACCTGAATCCCAGCTCTACCATATCCTGGCCGTGTAGACTTGGCTAAGATACTTGCTAACTCTGAGTCTCAGTTTCTTCATCTGTGCTGTGGGGACGATACTATTGTTTTTGTATGGCTCTTGGAGAGATTAAACGACATAATGCCTGTTGAGTACTTAGCCTGTATTTGACACTAGGTAGAGGGTCAAAAAATAATTGGAACTTGTCCCTCCCTTCATGAAGTTTATGGTCAGGTGGGCTATCCCCCAGCTACCAGCCCTCCCCACAAAGCTTCACACTGGAGGCAGGGACCCAGCAAAGCTGGTTATTTAAGTCTGGAATCTGCAACTCAAGTTTTCTTTCTTCCCTGTTGTCTCTAGAGATTAAGTGTGCTGTAGGCTTCCATCTGCTTCTGTAATAAAACATAAATTATTAAAGCCATAAAATATTGATGAACTGTTTTATAAAACAGAGAGACTTTAATGTATTGATTATGAATTGAGAAAGCCTTAATGAGTTTCAGGAGGAGAAATAATTGGGCAATGATGCTGTGTTGATTCATTCTGTGCCCCTGAATGAGAGGCAGTTATGAAAATAAGTTCCTCTTGTACCATTTTGCATCACTGTCATCTTGCATTTGTGCCATGGTACGTTTAAAACCTATGCTTCCATGAACGTTAAAAGCTAACCAGAGAGAAAGAGAGAGAGGGAGAGAGAGAGAAAGGGAGAGGAAAATTCCTTGTTAAAAATCAATGAAGTATTTTAAGTGGAAACTTCCTTGCTTTTATTTAGCTCCCTATGTGGCTCCCAGAGACCCTGAAAAACTGATGGTTAACATTGTAGCTGTTTCATTTTTAGATGGTTCATCCAACAAGAGTCTCTTATTAAAGTTCAGGAGGACTTCTCTCTTCCTTTCATCTTAGGATGAAGAATCCAATAGCCAGAACTGAACTTGTAAGAAGGCAGGACAATACACTTATTTTACAGATGAGAAAACAGAGTTCCATGGAGAGATAATGTCTTGTCCAAGATCCCACAAATCGTTAGTTTTTAAGACTTGGCCTGGCACCTAGGTCTTCTGACTCTGGTGTTGGTGATTCTTCTTCCATTTCTTAAAGGAGGACTTTTGGAGGATGAGAGTTGTTTCAATGTGGAGCGGGTTTTTGGGTTTTAGTCTTGCTGAATAGCATGGAAGCAGAGAGACTAAATGGCCTCTTGACCTCTTGGAAGGCATGTTACAGGGGGATTTGAAATTCCATGGAGTAACGCAGTCACTGCATTAGTCATCTATAACTGGCCTGCTGATCTTCAAAATCTCCCAGGTCAGACTCAGGCTGGCAACTTCAGACACAACCACATCGTTGTGATTCTCAGGAATATCCAGTGAGGGGAAGAGGCTGCACTACTTGCTGATGAATCCCTCACAGCTACTATATGAGATGGGAAGGATAAGTGTAAGTATCCATGAAGGACTCTAGGCTCAGAAAGTCAATGGAGTTGCCCAGGTTCACACAGATCGTTGGTGGCAGAATCAAGGGCTAGGACCATTATATTTGGAGAGGTAGGTTACCATTCCTGTACAAATATTAAATACCATACTGCCTTTTTATTATATTTGGAAGAGTTCACTCCAAGGGCAAGAGTGATATGTTTTCAATGAGACCGGCCCCTGCTGGTCTCATTGAGAACACATGAGGTGAGGGGTTGGTTGCTGACTTCATTTTGCCTTCACTTGTTAGGTCTGATGCTTGCCAGAAAAGTTGTTGGGAAGGTCACGGTAACATTTGCAGCTAATAGTCATTGAGCACTTTTGCTGTTCCTGACAACTATGCCAAGTACCTTTGCTCCCATTAGCTCATTTCTCTTTCATAGCAACCTTTGAACTAGGGAATGTTATCAGTCTCATTTTATAGAGGAAGGAATTGAGGCACAACAAGGTTAACTGAGTTAGATAGTGAAGCAAAGATTTGAGCCCAATGACAGGCTTGGAAGCCTACAGGCCTAACTGGGTAACAATTGCAGATATGTTTCTTATTGTCTTGAATCATGCTGCTTCATTTAATGGTACTGACCTCTTGTTTTTTCTTGAAGCTGTTGCTTATTTTGGCCTCAACTGTGACCACTTCTGGGTCTCTTTCATTTACCTCCTTCCAGTTGCCAGCCACAGCCCCTGGTAGTTTCCCAGTGTTCTCTTATAGCCTTCAGTTACTTTCACTAGACATGGGCTTCTTGGGCAATCCCAGCTAATTGCATGCATTTTACATTACCTTGCTATTAACTACACTGCTGACTGTCAATTCTGTATTGCCAGCCCTGAACTCTTCCTGGTATCAGGGTAATCCTGGTCTCATAAAATGAGTCAGAAAAGTGTTCCCTTTGCTTATATTTTCCATAAGAGACTGTGTAGAATTGGTATTATTTATCCCTTAAATGCTTGGGAGAATTTGCAAGTGAAACTATCTGGGCATAGAGATTTCTTTTTTGGAAGGTTTTTTAAACTCTGAATTCAATGTCTTTAATAGTTATAATTCTATTTGGGTTATTTCCTCTTGAGTGAGTTATAGTAGTCTGTGGTTTTCCAAGGAATTGGTCCATTTTTGACGATTAGTCAGATTTATGTGAGTTGTTTAGTAGAATTGTTCATAATAATCCCTTTTAATCCTTTCAATGTCTGTAGGGTCTGCAATGATATTCTGTTTTTTATTTCTGATATTGATAATTTGTGGCTTGTTTTCTTTTTTTTGAGACAGAGTCTCGCTCTGTCGCCCAGGCTGGAGTGCAGTGGCACAATCTCGGCTCACTGCAAGCTCCACCTCCCGGGTTCATGCCATTCTCCTGCCTCAGCCTCCCGAGTAGCTGGGACTACAGGTGCCCACCACCATGCCTGGCTAATTTTTTGTATTTTTAGTAGACACGGGGTTTCACCATGTTAGCCAGGATGGTCTTGATCTCCTGACCTCGTGATCCGCCCGCCTCAGCCTCCCAAAGTGCTTGGATTACAGTGGCTTGTTTTCTTAAAATCAGTCTCACTAGAGGCTTATCAGTTTTTTAATCTTTCAGAAACAGTTTTTGGTTTCACTGATTTTTTTTTTCAATTTTATTGAGTCTGCCCTTTGTTTTTTCTCTTTTGCTTACCTTGGGTTCATTTTGCTTTTCTTTTTTTTTTTAGGTTTTAAGGTGAAAATTATTCATCTGAGTCTTTTCTTCTTTTCTAATGTTAATATTTAATACTATAATTTTTCTCTAAGCAATGCTTTAACTGCAGCTCACAGATTTGGTATAGTATATTTTTATTCAGTTCAAATTATTTTACTATTTTTCTTGACACTTTCTCTTTGATCTACTGATTATTAAGAAGTGTACTGATAATATGCAGGTGAGTTGGAATTTTCCAGACTTTCTGTTATTGTTTAATTCCATTATAGTCAAAGAACATAACCCATATGATTTCAATTCTTTTTAATTTGTTAAGGTTTGTCTTATGGCTTAGAAAGTAGTCTATCTTGGTGAATATTCCATGTGCACCTGGATAGAATGCTTATTCTACTGTTGTTGGGTGGAATGCTCTATAAATGTCAATTACATCCAGTTGTTAACATTGTTGTTCAGTTGACATTCTTGCTGAGTTGTTGTCTATTAGCTCTATCACTAGAAGTTTTAAAATATCAAAGAGAAGTTTTAAAATATCAAACAATTGTACATTTGTCTATTTCTATCTCCAATTCTGTCAGTTGTACTTCATGTATTTTGAAACTTTTTGGCTTACATATACATTTCGGATTATTATTTTTTGTGTTGAATTGACCCTTACATCAGGTTTTGCCCCTGTTTACTCCTGATAATTTTCTTTGCTCTGAAGTCCATTTAGTATAGCCACGCCAGTTTTCTTTTTATTAATGTTTGCATGATATGTCATTTTTAGTTTTTTTTTTTTTTTACTTTTAACCTACCTATATCATTATATAAAAAGTGAGTTTCTTATATACAGCATATACTTGGGTCATGTGTTTTTATAAATCCTGAAAATCCTTGTGTTTTATTTAGTGTATTTAGACCATTTACATTGAATGTAATAATTGATATGTTTTGGTTTAGATGTGTCATTTTATTTTTTATTTTTTTTCCTTTGTTTTTATTCCTCTATTTCCCCTTTCCTGCCCTCTTTTGGGTTATTCGAACACTTTGAAATATTCTATTTTAATTTATATGTGTAGATTTTGACTATATCACTTTTTATAGCAATGTTAATGTTCAAAAAAGGATAACAATATACATACTTAACCTATCACAATGTACTTATAATCAAGTTTCCTCACTCCAAGCAGACCATAGGAACCTTATCATCATATAGGTCCCTTTACCCTCCCACCTTTATTTTATCTCATATATTACATCTAAGTTTATTAAAATTTTCGTCAGAAAAATCATATAGTTTTACTTTCAACTGTGAAATGTATTTTTTAAAATGCAAAAGGAGAGAATTGTCTATTATATTACCCTGATATTTCCTATTTATTTTGCCCTTCCTCCATCCTTTTTAATTGACAAAGAATAATTGTATTCTTTGTCAATAATTGTATTTATAAATATTGTATTTATTTATTTATTATTTATGTATTTATTAAATATTTATAAATATTATATTTATAAATACAATAATTGTATTTATAGGCTATGGTGAGAAGTTTTGATATATTTATACATTGTAGAAAGCTTAAATCAAGCTAATTAACATATCCATCACCTTACCAAGTTACCATCTTCATTCTTAATATTCCAAGATACTCTGGGTTCATGTCCCTTCTGTCTGACAAATTTCCTTTAACAAATAATCTGTACTACAAACCTCCATGACACAAGTTTACCTAAATAACAAACCTTCACATGTACTCCTGAACCTAAAATAAAAGTAAAAAAACCCAATTAACAATTCCTTTAAAGCAGGTTGCTTTCAAGAAGTGTTATAAAGGAATTTGGTTTGTCTTCATCTGGGAATGCCTTTATTTTCACTTCATTTTTTATATAGATCACAAGCTATAGAATTCTAGATTGGTAATTCTTCTCTTTCAGCATTTCAAAAATATTAGAGAACTAATGCTACAGAAATATATGTTACTACTGTATTAGTAGTACCACATACTACTACTATTAGTAGTATTACATAAGTAGTAATATTATAGTACTAATATTATAATACTAAATATTATAGTACCAACATTAATAGTGCTATTATAGTTCTGGTCTCCATGATTTCTGATAAGAAACGTAGTCATCTGAATTATTGTTTCCCTTTAGGTAACATGTTGTTTTTCTCTGGCTTCTTTCAATATCTTTATCTTTGCCTCCAGTTTCAGCAGTTCTTGTTTGTTTGTGGTTTTGTTTTTTTTTTTTTTTTTTGAGATAGAGTCTTGCTCTGTTGCCCAGGCTGGAGTGCAGTGGTGTGATCTCAGCTAACTGCAACCTCCACTTCCCAGGTTCAAGCGATTCTCCTGCCTCAGCCTCCTGAGTAACTAGGATTACAGGCGCATGCCACCACATCCAGGTAATTTTTGTATTTTTAGTAGAGACAGGTTTTCACCATGTTGGTGAGGCTGTTCTTGAAATCCTGACCTCGTGATCTGCCCGCCTTGGCCTCCCAAAGTGCTGGGATTATAGGTGTGAGTCACTGTGCCCAGCCCAGTTTCAGCAGTTTGAGTGTGATATATCTTTGTATGTGGATTTCTTTGCATGGATCCTGTTTAGGATTTAGTGAGCATCTTCAATCGGTAGGTTTAGCTTTTGCCACACTTGGGGAAATTTTAAGCCTTTATTTTTTCAAGTATTTTGTTACCATCATGCTTTCTCTTCTCCTGTTTGGACTCTGATGATATGAATATTATACATTCTGTTTTGCTATAGTGCCACATGTATCTGAGGGTCTGTTTGTTATTTTTTTTTCAATCTTTTTCTCTCTCTGTTTTTTGTATTGGATAATTTCTACTGATGTGCCTTCACATTCACTGAATACTCCCTCTGTCATCTCCAATCTGCAGTGGAGTCCGTCCAGTGAGTTTTTCTTAAAAAATTCGATTATTATATTTTTCAATTTCTATGTGATTTTTTAATATATCTTCTATTTCTTAATAAGGCTTTCTTTTTTAAATTAATTTCAAACTTTTTTACAATTGTTAGAACGTTTGTGTAATGACTACATTAACGTCTTTGTCAGGTAATTCCAACATCTGTGACATCTGGGCATTGACATCTGTTGATTGTTTTCCCCATGGGAGTTAAGCATTTTCTGGTTCTTGGTATGCTGAATAATTTTGGACTGGATCTGAACATTTTGAACAGGATATTATGCAACTTTGGGCCTTATTTAACTCCTATAGAAATTTTTTTTTTCCAGCAGGAAATCAATCTGGTTAGCTTCAGGTAGCAAGTTTCAAACCCTCTTCTGTGGACTGTGGTTCCAATATCAGTTCAGTTTTCAAACTTTGGTAGTGATACTTAAATACACCAGATGTCTGTACCACCCAGTGGTCAGTCTAAGAACCTGGCGTGTGGTATGTTAGTTCAGTTCTGAGTTCATTAAGTATGCTGATTAGGATGAAATCCACGCAGGCACGGCTTGGATAAGAGTACAGAAATTCATGAACCACTTTATGCAGTCACTTCCTTGAGCTCCTCTGTTTTATGTCTCTGGCACTTTACATTTGCCTCAGACTCTCTTTTTCTTCCTCTAGCTGGAAAGTTTGGGGCTTTAGTTACCTTACTCTGTCATGCACTTAGCTGTGCCTGTATCCAGGGTTGAGCTGCAGGAAGACAAAGGAAAGGAGACTAATGTAAGACTCTTAATAGTAGGGACACTGGATGTGGAATATTTAGAAACTACAACTTTTCTGTAACTCTAGAAGGATTCTAATTTTTTAAAAGCAATCAGTGTTTGCCTCATCTCTTGAGTCATAGGTCCCCTCCCTCAGAATGTTGGCTCCTGTGACCTTCTGTAGAGGCCTCTGTTACCAACATTACAGGATGGTTTGTGGACTGGGTATGAGCAAACAGAGAGAAGGAAGAAATGGAGATCTCCACACTCCCTCTGAGTGTGAGCAGTTCTGTTTCCTGTGCTTGGAGCCGGAACTAGAAGGTCTCTTTTGGAGCTCAGTCTGTTCACACACATGCTCACTTCTCAATTTCAACCTGTATTGCATTCAGGTGGGGGGATACTGGAGGAAAAGCAATGGTAGACTCACCTTGGTTTGGTGGCATAAATTCCCATCTTCTCCAATCCACCTGCTGTGATTTACTTTTCAGAATCTTTAGGTGCTCCATGAATTCTGCGTTCAGTTGAAGTAAAGGGGGAGTGTGTTGTTTTCATCTTTTTTTTCTTACAAATTTACCTCTTTAAAAACATTTTAATTATTATATATAATACATATAAGAAAAGTACACACAGTGTAAATATATTGTTGCATGAGTATAAATTGATAACTGCGAAGCAACCCCGCAGGTTAAGAAAGAAAATATGAATGGTAGTCCTGAAGCCTCCATGACAACTCACTCCCTTTCTGCTAGAAGTAACCATTATCTTCTGATTTTATGGTAACTATTTCCTGACTTACCTTTTATTTACTGCCTGTACCATACCATAGTGTGATTTAGTTATATCTTTTTGAACTTTATATAAATTAAATCATACTTTATGTAATCTTTTGTGTCTGGCCTCTTTTCATCATTGTTCATGAGATTCACCAGTGTTGTCTGCAGCTGCCATTAATTGATAATCACCTTTGTATTCCACTGAAAAAAATATATAACAATGGATTTATGCATTCACATGTTGATGGGCATTTGGGTTGTTTCTAGTTTGGGGCTGTTATGAACAATGCTTCTGTGACATTTTTATACATTTCTCTGGGAGTGCATGAGCTGGATTTCCCTGGAATAAATACTGACCCAGTGGAGTTGCTGGGTCAAAGCATACATCTTCAGCATCAATAATAGTGGCAAGCTGTTTTCTCAAGTTTTGTTCCAATTTACACTCTTACCAGTAGATGAGAATCCCTGTGGCTCCACTGGGGCTGTGTCTTAGCCATGTTTGTACCTATCATGCATGACACAAATGATGTTCAATCTGCATTTGTTAAGCCATTGAACTGACAGCTGGCTATGACTGTGTTATGTGTGACTGGGATGAAATTCTTTTGTTCAGATTTGGAAAAGCCTTGGGTTACGCTCTATTTTCATTAGAAAGGAATTGAGGACATGTCATGACAATTATCTCCTGTGAAAAAATGTGCTCAAGAAAGCTAATGATGATTTGTGAAGGGCAATGAAGATGCTGGGTCTTTTGAAGACTTTGATGGCATATCAAAGGCCATGATCTTGTTACTTGAGAGTGATAGGTGTGGTGGGAGGCCGTGGACAGAGGGATAATAGCAATATAAAAGAGGAATTATTTCAAGAACCACAGGACAGGAAAGAAAAGAATAACTGAGTAAATTCCATGGTTAAGGAATAGCATGTGAGGCATTGGTTGTTGTGTGTCAAGAATTACAATTCACTCCATCAAAGTGATGGCATTCAAGACTAGATGGAAAGAATTCAAACTGTGCAGTGTTGGAACAGATGAAACCACTCCATTTCTGGACTCCAATTTTGGGCATTGACTTTGTCTTTTAAACTATTTTAAACAAATGAATCTGAAAAATCTTCAAAACCTGGGTGACAGGTTAATATGTAGGGATAATCTCATGGTCTTACAAGGGTAAACTACAAAATATATAAAATCCTTCTGAATCTGGTTCAGATGAAAAAGTTGCTATGAGAAATAGGATATTCAGAATTAAGTGAAAATTATCTTGGAAACTCACTGAAGAGGTAAGTTTTTGGACAACAAAATCAAATCCATTCAATGTAGCAGCTGGATTAAATAATGACAGTAAACATTTATTATTATTACATTTATTTTAAATGCCAAGCTCTGTCTGGGTGCTTTATGTGGATTTTCTCAATGAATCCTCACAAAAACTCTATGAGGTTGAAAATATTATCCCTATTTTACAAATTGGGGAAGCGAGGCAAAGAGGGGTTTGAGTGACTTGCTCAAGATCACACGGCCAGTTAATGTTACCGGGGAACAAAATATAGGCAAAGAGATCCCAGAGCCTACATTCTACTCTTTCTTTTTTCAATTTGACTTCATTTATTGAGATATTGCATACAGCCAATGGAAGTAAGGATCTACTTGCTTATCTCACAGAACAACCAAATCACTAAGAAACATGATGAAGACTTTTATTTTAAATCCGAAGGTTAAAAATAGTGATTTGTGCTGTCTTTGGATATTACCCTTATGAAATGAGAATAAAGTTAAGGTTTTTTAAAGAATAAACTTCAGAATTGCAATTTTATGATATATGTTTGGCACTGAAATCTAGTACATGATTAAGAACAGACTCTGGAGTCAAACCCTTTGGGTTCAATGCCCAACCCTGCCATCTACTACCTCTGGTGACCTTGGGTGAATTTTATGACCTTTCTATGCCTCAGTCTCCTCATCTGTAAGATTGGGATGTTGGGGCTCAGAAATGAAGGCACCCCCAAAATGAAGGCATGAGAAGCAAAATTCTTCTCTGACCTTCTCCTGTTCTCCAGTTCTCAATCTCATTTTCCCCTGAGGCTAGTCATAGAAAGTAGAATCTCTCTTTCCCAAGGCAGGTCATAGAAACCAGAACCCCTTTTCTCCAAAGCCAGCCATATAATAGAAAATTATTACTCTAATTTTTCCTCCTCCTTTCTATGCAAAAACTATTCATAAATTATCTGATCTACTTGTTTGATTGTAGGACATAAGACCCCCATTCCAGGGAAGGCCCTGCCCTATAGCCAGAAAGATGCAATGCATGGTCAGCAAAGCCAAGGAGAATCTAGACAGACAGGCCTTTCTGGGTTCCCCAACCCAGTCTACTGCATTAGATCATAGCCTTTTTGTCCAGTCATATTTCTACAGGGCTATTCATTCGTTATTGAAGCTAAGCATAAAAATGGACAATTTCTTCCATATCTTTGGGTCTTCATTTTTTTTTTTTAATTATACTTTAAGTTCTGGGATACATGTGCAGAATGTGAGGTTTGTTACATAGGTATACATGTGGCATGGTGGTTTGCTGTACCCA
The DNA here is from genome assembly GCF_000001405.40 of Homo sapiens. Lineage (NCBI taxonomy): Eukaryota > Metazoa > Chordata > Mammalia > Primates > Hominidae > Homo > Homo sapiens. The sequence continues at coordinate 34,124,231 of NC_000022.11, forward strand.
TCAACCCATCATCTACATTAAGTATTTCTCCTAGGCTTTCTACTCTTTTTTTTCCTGGTTTTAAATATTAATATGTATACAGTAAAACTCATTTTATTTTGCTGTTCAGTTGATGAGTTTTAACACATATATAGATTTGTATAGCCACCTTCACAATTGTGACACAGAACTGCCTCATCATCTCAACATTCTCTCTTATGGTGTTCCTTCACAGTCCCACCCTTCCCTGACCCCTTGTTTTTGATTACCACTTTAAGTTGTTTTTTTCCAGAAAGTTGTATAAATGGAATCTTATAATGTGGAACCTTTTCAGATTGGCTTATTTCACTTAGTATAACGCCTTGAGATTCATCTAATATTGTGACTGCAACTGTTTTTTTTTTTTTTTTAAGTTCTGGTTGGTGTTCTGTTGTGTGGATGGACCACAGTTTGTTCATTCATTCTTTTGTGAAGGACATTTTTGTTGTCTCCAGTTTTGGGCAATTTTGAAGGAAGCTGTGATAAATATGCATGTACAGGTTTTTGGCTGAACATATTTTCATTTCCCTAGGGTAAATATTAAGAGCGTGATTTCTTGGTGAGGTGGTATATGTTTAGAACTTTATAAGAAATTGCCAAAATGTTTTCCTGAGTGGTTATATTATTTTTCATTCCTATGAGCGATGCACAAAATATCCAATTGTCTCACATCCCCACCAGCACTTAGTAGTGTCAAATTTTTAAAAAATGTTTTATGTTAGCCGTTCTCGTGGACATTGACTTTGTCTCTTAAACTAGTATAAACAAATGAATGTGAAAAATCTTCAAAACCTGGGCGACAGGTTAATAAGTAGGGATAATCTCATGGTCTTACAAAAGTAAACTACAAAATGTGTAGGTGTGTCTCATGATTTTAATTTGCATTTTGCTAATGACCAATGCTGTTAAGCATTTTTTCATGTGCTTATTTGCCATCTAAATATCTTCTTTGACAAAGTGTTTGTTCAAATCTTTTGCTCATTTTCATAAATTGGGTTTTTTCCTCTTGGTGAGTTTTTAAGAGTTTTTTAATATATTCTAAATACATTTTTTTGTATGATACGTGATTTGCAAATATTTTCTCCTGGTCTCCAGCTTATTATTTCATTTCTTAACACTGCCTTCAATGGATCAAAAATTTTTAGTTTTAATGTAGTATAATTTTTCAATTTATTATTTTATGGATCATGCTTTTGCTATCGTGTCTAAAAATGTTTTGCCTAACCAAAGTCCAAGATGGTTTGCTACAGTGTTTCTTTGGGGCTTTATATGATTATGTTTTTCATATATATATATTTATGTATATAATCTACTCTGAGTTAACCTTTTATAAGGTAAAAGATATAGTTCAATGTTTATTTTCTTACATATGGATACTTAATTGTTCCAGTTCCATTTGTTGAAAAGACTATTATTTGCATTGTCCTTGAAACTGGAATTGAAGAAATCCGCATAAATCTACTCACATTTTGTCAAAAACCAGATGACCGTATTTGTGCACATCAATTTCTGGACTCTTATTTTAGGGGTTGGCAAAGTTCTTAAATGGCTACATAGTAAATATTTTAGGTGTGTGGGCCATGAAGTCTCTGTTGTGTGAAAGTAGAAACAGACAATAGATTTAGGAATGGGAGGGGCTGTGTTGAACATGGGAATTGAGAAAAAGGGAAGAGTTGAAGGCAACCCTGAGATTACCTTTTAACTTAAAGTTATTTGAGCTTTCTGTTGCTGGAATTCTGGATAAAGAGTAGTTAACCATATCAGCCACCTATGTGTCCTCTTCCACAATACATAGGCTAGGGTTCTCAAATTTGAGTATGTATGAGAATCACCTGGAGGGCTTGTTAAAACAGACTGCTGGCCTGGCACGGTGGCTCACGCCTGTAATCCAATCACTTTGGGAGGCCGAGGCAGGCAGATCATGAGGTCAGGAGATGGAGACCATCCTGGCTAATGCAGTGAAACCCCGTCTCTACTAAAAATACAAAAACATTATCCAGGCTTGGTGGTGGGCACCTATAGTCCCACCTGCTTGGGAGGCTGAGGCAGGAGAATCACTTGAACCTAGGAGGTGGAGGTTGCAGTGAGCCGAGATCACGCCACTACGCTCCAGCCTGGGCCACAGAGTGAGACTCAAAACAAAAACAAAAACAAAGCAAAACAAAAAGACAGACTGCTGAGCCCTAGGGTGTCTGACTCAGTAGGTCTTGGGTGAGGCATGAGAATTTGCATTTCTCACAAGTTCTCAGGTGACACTGATGTTGCTGGTCCCCATTCCTGCACTGACTGCCCAGTGAATGCACCGTACCATGTTTTCTGCCCTGGGGCATCTCTAGATTTGTGGCATGGGATTGTAGGATGCTTGTGGCAAATGTGCCTGGCATTCAAACATGTGCTACCTGGAAGTGCAAGGCAATTAGTACCCCCATGGCATGGCAGACTTTTGAACCCTAGGGGATATGAGCTGGTGAACAAATGTTGGTGGACAATTCTGAGATGCATTCTCCAGTTCTCCTCTGAAGGTCCCAGGGGAATTGTGCCCCAGTTGTCCGCTGTGGCAACCAACTTGATATCACACATCATGCCCTTGTTCTGTGTTTCATTATCTACAGCCTCCCATTCTGCTCCCGGGATCACTTTCCAAAACAAACTGCCTGCACACAAGTCCTTGACTCAGGGTTTGCTTTCCAAGGGGAACTCAGTCTAAGGCATTTGCTGTGGTTCTCAATCTCTTCCTCTATCTCAATCAGTGAAACATCCTAATAGTTACCTAGCATGAGAAACACAGAGTTCCTTAGACTTGGTGGGCAGGGATTAAGTATTATTCATTTTTGTACTCACTGCACACATGCTAGTGGCTGACGTGTAGTGGTGTTCAGAAAATTACGAAGATATGAAACAGTTAAAGTATTTTTAGACTTATTAAATGAGAGTCGGTAGACAGGAATGAGCAGGAGTGAGTGGCAGATGTGCAAGTCTGGGTGGAGAGAGAAGGCTAGCTTGCATGCAACCAGTCGAGCACCAAGCAAGATGGCAGCTAACAAAATGTTCATTAAGATTTGAGGCTATGGAGGTCTCAGTTGGAATCCAAACTCCACCATTTCTTAGCTTTGTGGCTGGGGGCAAGTTTCCCTTTACACTTTGCTTCCCACATCCGTAAAATAGAAGAATAGTAATATCCACTTCATTGAGCCAAAAGTGTAAGGATGTATAGAAAGCACCTAGCATGTGTCTTAGCATATAATAGGTACTTGAGAAAGGTTAATTCCTTCTGTGTCCGGCCACTTACTCATCAAGGGTGCAGTGGCAGGAGGTTGGAATGCAGGACATCTAAGATTTATTTCACTTGCAGTACTGTAGGAGATTGTGATGGTAGCCAGGTACAGGTTATTAACAATAATGAAAATAAGAATGCTTATCTGTAGTAGCTAATGTTAATATAGTGCTTGGTAATGCCAGGCACTGTTCCAAGATATATATTTGATTCTAATTTAATTCTCAAGCTACTGTATGAGATAGAGCACAGTATACAGTACTTCCAATTTTACAAATGATAAAACCAAGGCACAGAGAGGGTAAGTGACTTGATCAAAATCACACAGCTAGTAATAGGTGGAGCTAGGATTGAAGTGAGGCAGTGTTTCTCTTAATATTGTGCCGTCTTTCTGAGAGTTGACTGCTGTTCCTCTCAGCACTTAGACTAGTGTGGTGCATTACAGGAACTACAGTTTGTACAGCAATTTTACATGTATCATTTCTTTGAGCATTACAAGTGGGGAAAGGGAAGAGTGTTACAATATCTCCTATGGAAGATATGTACAAAAAATAGCTTTTTCCATAGCTGGTATGTTCACTCCACTTGACCCCACTCCATATTGTTAAATGCCTCACACTGAATGAGCTGTATACTGAGCTATGTAGAAGTGAGGAGGACATTACCTCTACCAATAAGGAGCTGCCTCTACCCTTAAGAAGGGTGGAAGGGTGAACACATGCACAGAGAAAAGCTGTGTTTAAGTTGTGGAGGTCATCGTGTGGGGAGAGCACAGCAGGAGGAAGTCGACCATGCCTGGGAGGTCTGGGGTGGGTTCCAGAGGAGGCCACCATCATGCTGGTATCTCCAATGCCACCCTTCTTCCTCATCAGCTCTCTGTTATTGAAATTGCTCTCTTAACCTCTTCGCCTTCCCCCAAAGAAGGACAGGTAGAGAGAGAGAGAGATTATAGCCTGAACATGTCAATACGTAAGAGCTTAAAATGAGAATTACTGGTGTTTGCACAAAGCATTTGCCTCTTGTTCATCCTTGCTATTTATTTGAAAAGTTGCCCCAAAGAATGTCAGGTTGTGGAATGAGTAAGACTGAGATGCCCAGGCGTTGCTTGGCCCCTTTTGGTTATTTGTGTACATGGGAAATGCGGAAATCTAATGAAAAGTCTTTTGTTTTAAATTGGTCGTTTGCTGTATCTGAAATGGATAGATTATGCTGCTGGCTTAATACAGAAAAAAATCTGTCTCTGTACTCCTCTCACAGGGCCTTGGTGTCACTGTTTCCTTTTCCATGAAAGGCAGGGGGCAGGTAGACAAAAGCAAGAGGTGACTGAACCCTGCTCAGGGGAGTCCTTTTTCTACCACTATTTTCTTGATGGGGACTTTCAACAGCACCTCCAGACCTTTTACACCTCCTACCTCCAGAGTGATGGAGTGAATGATCCGGTTGGGGACCACATTTCTGCTTAGATGAATGTAGCAACGGGGACTAATTTGATCTCTCTCTCCTTCCTCCTCCACATGATCAATAGAAGACAAATGCCTGGGTAAATGCCTCTGCTCCTCAGACGCAAACATCCTGCTGATGTGCTGGTCCTAGTTCTGGATTGGGAGGTTAGAAGATAATTGATCCATGTAACAATCCCGCCTGAACCCAGATCTCCCAACGTGGGTTTTGTGCCAGATGACTTTTGTTTGCCCCTTCAGGTTCATTTCCTACCCTTTTCTATTCTTGTTGCATTCCAAACTACATCCTGCATCAACAGACTACTTTGCCCTCTGGTTTCAGACTGGGGAATTCTGGAAGGAGATTAAAAGGCAGGAGGAGAGTAAGGTCAGGGTATTTATTCCCTCAGCTCTCTCTCTCTCTGCCTGTCACCGTTGGTCGGCTGAGTCTCTTAACTGGAGTCTGTGGCTCTATCAGGTAACCACTCCCTCCCCTGGTCCTTTCCCTCCCAGGCATAGTAACAGCTTCTAATGTAACTGGGTCTGGTTGCTTTTCCTAAACCTTTCCCACACCCTTGGAAATAGTCACGTCATTAAACTCTCCTCTGTAACTTAGCCTGACTGGTTAGCTTCCATCAGTGGGACAGATGGCATTTTCCCAATATAGCTACACCCATCTATATCTCATCCCACATGTGCCCCTAAAATGTGATCTTGAGACTCCTCCAACAAGAGGTGGGAAGTCTGTGTTCCTTTCCATTAAATCTGGGTAGGACTATGAAAATAGCAGAAACGATGCCACGTGACTTCCAAGGCTAAGTCATAAAAGACAATATGCCTTCTACTTTGTCCTCTGAGGCTGCTTGCTTTTGACCCCAGCCAGCATATGGAGACAACAGGTATCAGTGTCCTGGCCATAGGTCCCAGCTGACAACAGCATCAACTGCCAGGTATGTGAACAGATGATTCTAGCTCTCAAACTTTGAGCTGCTGTAAATGATGCAGAGTAGAGCAGCACTAACCTGTCCCCAGCCACCATCTGGGCCCGTACAAATGGCAGCTTTATGGGCAAAATAAATATATATTTTTAAAAGCCACTCAAGTTTATAGTGGTTTGTCATATAGCAATAGATAACCAGATAGTCAGCAATAAAGTTAATATTTGACCTCTATTTCTATTCTTGTGTTTTATTTCCCTCCTTGTTTAGAAATCTGGGCAGGGAGGAAAAGCAGATTTATTGGGTGGCCTCAAAGATGCCAACATTCACCTGCTGCATTCCAGTCCCTCTAATGGAGATTTTACAATGTCTCCTCACGTATCCCTCACCACAAACCCAGGTGGGAGGTATTATTGTCCACATCTCCCAAGCCAAGAGATTATGGAGGCAGGTGAAAGATGAAGTAACCAATCCAAGGTCAGTCTGAGAGTCAGTGAAAGAGTCTGAGGTGTAACCTAGGTTGGCAAAACTCCAAATCCTGTGTTCCTCATATGGTGCAAAGCCATTTTATCTTCTTATAATATTGTTATAAGAAGTGCTATTCTCCATTGTGACTTGCTCACCAGGTTTTGGTCTGTAGAGTCTGTATCCTTTTCATTTTGAAGGGAAAGGAATACTTTCTGATGTCCTGGCTGTCGTTTATTGAATCCTGTTTCATCAAGTCGCTGTGTGATGCTCTTGGAGTGTGTTATCCCACTGGGCATCTCTGCTTTCCCAAGTGGCCCCTCAGAACCTCAGGCTCTCAATGTTCTTTATACACACTGATGGTGTGCTCCTTGAGGGCAGAAGCTATGACAATTTGTTCTATACCTCCACCTAGTGCCTACAGTTTCACTAACTGCTTAACAAGAATCTACAGAATGGGCCGGGCACGGTGGCTCATGCCTGTAATCCCAGCACTTTGGGAGGTCAAGGTGGGTGGATCACCTGAGGTCGGGAGTTTGAGACCAGCCTGACCAACATGGTGAAACCCCATCTCTATTAAAACATACAAAAATTAGCCGGGCTTGGTGGCGCATGCCTGTAATCCCAGCTATTCGGGAGGCTGAGAGAAGAATCGCTTGGACCTGGGAGGTGGAGCTTGCAGTGAGCCGAGATGGTGCCATTGCACTCCAGCCTGGGCAACAAGAGTGAAACTTCATCTCAAAAAAAAAACAAAAAAAAACAATCTGCAGAATGTCTGAATGCATGTTTGTTTTCATCAGGTAAAAGGTTTGATTTTGGCATTCTTTCCTTCTTTCATTTATCATCTGAAGGCCTCCTCCATCATTGTATCTGACCTCTAGGCAGACAGAATTTCCCATGCTGGGGACATGTGCTTCATTCTTGGGCCAGAGAGCCCATCCTGCCTGGTGTATAAGCTACAGTTTGCTGACTCCATAGTCCCAAAGTATCCGTCACTCACCAGCTTTGAATCTAATTTTTAGTCTTTTTCACCTTTTCAATGACTGTCTCCACTATACCAAACTGCTGCTAGAGGAGTTTTCCTAAAAAACACTCATTTGATAAGTGTATTGTCCTGCTTAATCTGCCATAGCCCGTTAGTTTCTGCAAGATACACCCATCACTTGCCACATGTATTAGGATTCTCTAGAGGGACAGAACTAATAGGATATATGTATATATGAAAGGGAGTTTATTAAGGAGAATTGACTGACAGGATCACAAGGTAAAGTCCCACAATAGGCCATCTGCAAGCTGAGGAGCAAGGAAACCAGTGGTGGATCAGTCTGAGTCTCAAAACCTCAAAAGTAGGGAAGCTGACAGTGCAGCCTTCAGTCTGTGGCCAAAGGCTCAAGAGTCCCCGGCAAACCACTGGTGTAAGTCCAAGAGTCCAAAAGCTGAAGAACTTGGAGTCTGATGTTCGAGGGCAGGAAGCATCCAGCACGGGAGAAAGATGAAGGCTGGAAGACTCAGCAAGTCTGCTCTTTCCTCTTTCTTCTTCCTGCTTTATTCTAGCCCCACTGGCTGCTGATTAGATGGTGCCAACCCAGATTAAGGGTGGGTCTGCCTCTCCCAGTCCACTGATTCTTATGTTAATCTCCTTTGGCAACACCCTCACATACACACCCAGGAAAAATACTTTGCATCCTTCAATCCAATCAAGTTGAGACCCAATATTAACCATCACAGCACACATAAGATCCTTCATGAACCCTCTAATGCTCTCTGGAGTCAAGGGCACACAGGGCTTCTCATCATGGCCCTGACAAAAACCTGACCCTCCGTGATTTTATGACTTTGTTCTTGCTGTAACGTTCTCATCCTTTCTTCTCTGCCTGGTGAGTTCCTCAGCTTAAATGTTACCTCTATTGTGATGCCTAACTCCACCAGGCAGGTAAGCTCTTCTCCACTCTGTATATTCGCAGCATTTTGTTCATGACTCTTTTCTAGTACTTAGCATATTGTTTAGTCACTTGTGTGTTTGTTTACATGTCTTATGCCCCCATTAGTGTGCAAGCTGTTTGAGGGCCAAGATTGGGGTTTTGTTATTAACGAAGCTGGATGATCCTGCTTCTGCTATGAACCATAATTTCATAGTAATTAAGAGTTAAAACTTTGGAATCAAATTACCTGAGCTGAAAACCCGGTTCTAGCCTATACTTACTGGCTCTGAGACCAAAGAAATTTACTTAACTTCTTTAAGCCTCAATTTTACATCATTTTCTTTTCTTTTTTCTTTTCCTTCCTTCCTTCTATTTTTTTCTTCTCTCTCTCTCTTTTTTTTTTTTTTAGAGATATGGTCTTGCTCTGTCACCCAAGCTTAAGTCTGATGATGGGATCCTAGCTCACTGCAGCCTTGAACTCTTAAACTCAAGCAATTCTTCTGCCTCATCCTTTCAAGTAGCTGAGACTACAGGTGTATGCCATCATACTCGGCTAATTTTTTTTTTTTTTATAGAGATTGGTGGGGGGGTCTCACTATGTTGCCCAGGCTGGTCTTGAACTCCCGGCCTCAAGTGATCCTCCTATCAGTCTCCCAAAGTGCTGGGATTGCAGGCATGAGCCACTTTTTCGGCTTTCTTTTTAAAAATAAGAATAATAGTGCTTATTTATAAGATTGTTAGTATTAAACGATTTATCCCATATACAACTCTTGCCACATAGTAAACACTTAAATATTACCTGTGAGTATTATTATTCACACTGAACAATTACCACGTACCAGTTTAGTTCATCAAATCTCACAGGAATTCTATTAGGTAGGCATTATTATTTTCATTCTACAACTAAGGAAACTGAGCCTCAGGGAGAGTAAGGAACTTTTCCAGGCTTATGTGGTTGATGGGTGGTGGCGCATCCAGGCTGGGATGCTTACAAGGGGCTCAGTACAAGTTTGTCGAATCTATTTGAGGAGCCTGTTCAGTCTTTGTCCTTTCTGGTGACCAATGCAGACTTCCAATTGCCTTGGTTGCTGGAGCCAGAGTTCAGCCCCAGGGGAGTTGGTCCAGTTTTTCTGCCCTGCAGCCTTCCATGTTGTTCAGGTTCTGAGCCTGACTGCATATGGGTTGGGTTTGTTTGTTTTTGACTCCATTGAGAAGATGTCTCCCGGCCCATTCCCAGGTCAGTACACAAACTCATTCCATCTGCCTTACAATTAAGATTCAAAAGCAGACGGCAAGTAAATCTCTCCCTGTGCACCGATTCCAATCAGCAATTATGCTCTTAATGACCAGCTAAAAAGGAATTCACAAAAGCAAACCACAGTATTAAATATAGAATTGTATTGATGCTGACCTGCTGGGAGCACTTTCTGTTCCTTTTCCAGAGTGATGTCTGAGAACAAGGATATAATCTTCCTTCCCCAAACATTTTTTGCCCTTTTAAGTAGAGTCATCTCTAAAATAAAGATTTGTGGGCCAGGTGTGGTGGCTCACGCCTGTAATCGTAGCACTTTGGGAGGCTGAGGCAGGTGGATCACCTGAGGTCAGGCGTTCGAGACTAGCCTGGCCAACATAGTGAAACCCCGTCTCTATTAAAAGTACAAAAAAATTAGCCAGGCGGGTGCCTGTAATCCCAGCTACTCGGGAGGCTGAGGCAGGAGAATCGCTTGAACCCAGGAGGCGCAGGTTGCAGTGAGCCGAGATCATACCATTGCACTCCAGCCTGGGGGGAAAAAAATAGATTGTAAGGAGGTAGCCGTTCCCCAGAAGACATGAAAACACCATTTTAAAACCACAGTCCAGGGTCACATCATGTTCTCCATGAGTTGTCATAACGTGATGAGGCTGCAAGCTCCGCTTCCTCAGACCCACGCGTCTGGTGATTAAGATGTCACCTCTATGGATGAGTCCAGGTGAGCTGGTGCTTGTGCCAATGCATTATGGGGGAGTGGAGGAAGAGACATTTGAAAACCAAACCAAAAATTCTAGCACCCTTGTTGATGAACGCTTATGCTAGGCCAACCTCTGTGCTGAGATCTTTATACTTCTGATTTCTTTGGGACCTGGGAAGAGTCCTCGGAAGGGAGCCACTGCCATTGTTCCCGTTTAACAGATGAGCAGAGTTCAGAGAGCTGATTTAGCCAAGATCACCTAATGATGGCCTAAAAATCTCCACCCAAGTGTAACTGATTGGCAAACTTTGACTTTTGACTACAAACTCACGAGAGAATAACCCTGAGTCCCCCAGCTGTGGTGATGGGAATACTATGAGCATGTTTTGACTGAGTGTGTCCCGGAATGGTATTTAGCGCTTTCACAAACATTAAGCCACCTTAGCCTAACAAGCACCTTCTTGGGTAGGTATTGCCAATGTTTTTCATTGTGGTGGCCCAGCTCCTAAGTGGAACAGCCTGGGCTTGTCCTAGTTGATCACACTGCCTCTCTGGTATGGCGATTGGGGTCAGCAGTGGGGATGGGCAGGATGAAGCTTCTGCTCTTTTATGGGGTGAAGTGGGTGAGAGTAGCACCTTGCTTCACTGAAGTTGCATTCTCCATTTGGAGAAGGCCAGCTGAGAATAGAAACTCACTCTCCACTCTTTCCCATGGAGCTCAATGGCCCAGGGAACAACTTCAGAGAGACTATATTAGTTTGCGAGCACTTCTATAATAAAGTACCATAGCCTAGGGAGCCTAAACAACAAAAATTTATTTTCTCATAGTTCTGGAGGCTGGAAGTGTGAGATCAAGGTGTCAGTAGGGTTGGTTTCTTTCAAGACCTGTCTCTTCCTAGCTTGCAGATGGCTGTCTTCTGTCTGAATCTTCACCTTGTCTTTTCTCTGTGCATGTCTGTGTTCAAATTTCTTCATCTTACAAAGACAGCAGTAGTATTAGATAAGGGCCCACTCTCATGACCTCACTTTACTTAATTATCTCTTTAAAGACTCTGTCTCCAAATATAGTCACATGCTGAGGTATTGGGAGTTAGGGCTTCAACATACAATTTAGGCCATGGCGGAGACCCAGTAGAGTTTTTTTTTTTTAATCAAACATCCATAACTTGATTTTCAGTAAGTCCATATGGCAAAAACCCCGAAATCTCTCTAATTGTCAGGTTCCACATTTCTGAAACTGGCAGGTAGTTGTGAGAATAAAATGGGACAATATATTTAAAGTACAAAGCTGTTTAGGTTCTCAAAGCATTAGTTCCCGTCACTGCTGTACAGACTCTTTTCCCAACACCATAGCTGTGGCTAAGTCCCGATTGTATTCCCAAAATGTTTCTGGCTGTTCTGTGGATGGCTAAAGGCTAGGGTCAAACGCATTTCATTTGGGGAAAAAATGCTGCTTGAATTTGTGGTGGTGAACATTTTCTTGCCCACTCTCTCTGGCTTGTACTTCTATGATGGTAGAGACAATGCTAACTATTCACAAAATCTTGTTTAATATTCATCTTCTCGTGCATGCAGGCAGAGTATAGTTCCCAGCTATCCTGCAGGTAGGTTAGAGATACATGACTGGGTTCTCGCCAACAGCATGTGGGCAGAGATTACATAATCTACTCCCAGGCCATGCCAATATTTTGGATAATTTTTACTAACAGAAAAGTTATAAGGATAGTGTAGAAAGTTCCCATGTAACCTTCACCCAGCTTCCCCGGATGTTAGCGTCTTGCGTAATCACGGCACATTGGTTAAACCTAAGATACTAACGTTGGTACTTTGCTGTTAAACAACAGACTTCAGATTGCCCTTGTTTTTCCACTGATATACTTTTGTATGTTCCAGAATCCAATCCAGGATATCATATTGCATTCAGTTATCATGTTTCCTTAATCTTCTCCAATCTGTGACAGTTTCTCATTCATTTCTTCTTTCATGACTTTGACAGTTTTAAGGAGAACTGATCAGATATTTTATAAAATATTCCTCAGTTTTAGTTTTTCTGATGTTTTTCTCATTATGAAACTGGGAGTATAAGATATAATCCTATAAGGAAGAAAACTACTGATGTAAAGTGTGTTTCTTATTGCTTCATGTAGAGGGTCCATGAACTCCACATGACTTAGCACTGCTGGTGTTAACCTTAATCACTTGGTTAAGGTGGTATCTGCCAGTTTTATCTACTTTAAGGGTAGTACAGATACTCCTTGACTTATGAGGGGTTACATCCTAATAAACCCATTGTAAATGAAAAATGCTATAAATTGAAAATGTGTTTAATACACCAAACTTACCAAAGATCATAGCTTAGCCTAACCTGCTTCAAACATGCACAAAACACTTATGTTAGCCCACAGTTGGACAAAATCATCTAACACAAAGCCAGCTTTATAACAAAGAATTAAATATCTCATGAAATCGTGTAATTTATTGAATAGTGAAAGTGAAAAACAGAATGGCTGTATGGGTACTCGAAATACAGTTTCTACTGAATTCATATTGCTTTTGCACCATCCTAAAGTCAAAATATCATAAGTCAGAGATGTTTCTCATCTCCATAATTTAATCCTTGGAGATGAGTCAGTAAGTCCAGCCTACTCTCAAGGGTTTATTCTAGCTTCCCCTCTTTGCTTATTTTTAACTTCTTTTCTGTGACAGTAAAAAATGTAGTTTCCATTATCTACAATTTATTTAGTTATTTGTTAATCCCAGTATACAATTAACACACCATTTTTCAAGGTTAATTAGGTCAACTCCCTTTTTTTCTACTCCCATCGGTGAGGTTATATGATATATTTGTATATTTGTAATACAGTTAGATTTCTTTTCTTTTTCTTTTTTTTTTGTTTTTTGACAGAGTCTCACTCTGTCCCCCAGGCTGGAGTGCAGTGGCATGATCTCAGCTCACTGCAACCTCTGCCTCCCGGGTTCAAGCGATTCTCATGCCTCAACCTCTGTAGTAGTAGCTGGGATTAGAGGCACCTGCCACCATGCCTGGCTAATTTTGCATTTTTAGTAGAGACAGGGTCTTGCCATGTTGGCCAGGCTGGTCTTGAACTCTGGACCTCAGGTGATCCGCCTGCCTCAGCCTCCCAAAGTGCTGAGATTACAGGCATGAATCACTGCGCCTGGCCTAGATTTATTTTTCATGTCCTGGATTCCATCCTGGTTTCCCTGGGCATCCTAGTCGCTTTTTATAAAAACTGTGTACAGTACAATTGACTCTGTAAGAATTCTGACAAATACATAGATTCATGTAACCACCACTTCAGGGCCACAGAGAATCGTTCCACAACCCTGAAAAATCCCTTATATGGACTCCATGTAGTCACCCCCTTCCCTTCTCCCAACCCTTGGCAACCGCTGATCTGTGTTCTGTTCCTAAAGCTTCGCCTTTCCTATCATATCGTATACATAGAATCATATGATATGAATGCTATGAAGTATTTTGGTTCTGGACTTCTTTCAACTGACAAAATACATTTAAGATGTATCTATGTTGCTGTTGAATCAGCAGCTTGTTAATTTTTTTTTTTTAGAGCTGAGTAGTGTTCTATTGTATGGATGTGCCACAGTTTGTTGATCCATTTAGAACTTTGCATATTTTTTCCTGCCCGATAAAAACATTTCTGTCATTATTATTGTAAAGACCTCATGAACATCCTGTTTTTGCCTTGCCCTAACCTTGAAGTGGGACTCAGTACCTCTTTATAATCACTCCTGGAAAGAATCCTCTTTTCAAAGTATTAGTGAGCAATGAAAATTTTGCTCAAGATTTTGTAGAGGGAATTCAGAAGGGCTTTACATGGTACACTCTGCAACAAACACCAAATTGTATGGTATTTCCAGATACCCCATCGTGTGTGTGTGTGTGTGTGTGTGTGTGTGTGTGTGTGTGTCTTCTTCTTTCTCCTCCTCCTTTTTGTTTTTTTTTTTTTTGAGACAGAGTCTAGCTGTGTCACCTAGACTGGAGTGCAGTGGCACCATCTCGGCTCACTGCAACCCCCGCCTCCCAGGGTCAAGTGATTCCCCTGACTCAGCCTCCTGAGTAGCTGGGACTACAGGTGCGCACTGCCACTCCCAGCTAATTTTTTGTATTTTAGTAGAGACACGGTTTCACCATGTTGGCCAGGATGGTCTCGATCTCTTGACCTCCTGATCCACCTGCCTTAGCCTCCTAAAGTGCCGGGATTACAGGCGTGAGCCACTGTGTCCAGCCTCTTCTTTCTCTTTTACCCCACTCAGGGCTCCAACATCTAGGTGGTGCCTTCCAACTCCCAGACCTTCTTCCTCTCCTCCTTTCCATTACTCTCTCTCATTCCCTGTCTCCTGATGATCTAGAATAATTTAGCTCTGATTCCTCCAAGCTTACCTTCCACAACCATCACCCTGCTCAGCAAACAGAGAACCCTGTATTCACCAGATTTTGTCTTTCTCAGTAAGTAATGCCTATGTTTTCTATCACATTATTTTTTATAACTTCCTACTGTTGATGTGAGGGCTACCTGAATGAATGAGGTAATGTATATGAAGCCTTTTACACAATAGCTGGCATATAACAAAGTACTAAATAAATTGTAATTTTTATTATTGTTATTTTATTATAACTACTCCTGGTAAGAGATGGCTAATGTAGGAAGCTACCAAATAAAGATGTATTACTTAGATCTTTCGTGGCTTGTTTTACCTTTGACAAGAAAAGAGACTTCTAGAAAGAGTCCTGTTCAAGGATGAAGCTCAGAAAGACTTCAGGAAACAAGGAACCCCTACCTCTGAAGCAATTCTTGAAAGCCTTGGTAGGAGTGATTATTGATTAAGTGTCTGCGGTTGATCTACCCCAGGGGTGAAGGTTGCCTGCTTACTAAGAAGAAAACCTGCTGACCACTGGCCTTGTTAGACAGAACCTTGCTAGGTTCCTGGAGAGGTTTCCTGGCTGAGGTTGAGAGACAGAAATTCACCCATCTGTCAGAGATTTTGCAGGCCCAGCCCAGCTTGAAAAGCAGGGCCATGTACATGACCTTGGGATGGGCTTTTGCTCACATCTTCACTATTCTGATACCCACAGTCTGATTTGAGATTCTGGCTTGCTTACTGTGCAGCTGGATGATGTAAACAAGGTGTATTTTTAGTCTCTTGCATGATCTCTTTTAAGTTAGAACCAAAGTTGTCATCTTCCTCTTAACACAGGCTCCTCCTCTTCCAGGGTTCCCTTTCTCAGGAAGAGCAGCACCATTCACACAGCCATCCCCTGAAGCCTCCCTGAATAGTTTTCTCCCTGATCCAGTCACTTTTTCCGTCCCATAGATTCTACTTCTACAGTATCTCTCAGCTCCATCCCTCTCCACTGCCTCTGGCTTCCTTTATGCTCTCATCAGCTCTTTACTGGCCCAGCTTTTGCTAGTCTCACTCCTGCTATAATAAAACAAGGCAAAACCTAAGTGACTCCCTCATCAGTCAGGTTATGCTATCTTATATGTGTAACGAAACAATGAACTCCAAAATCCCCAGGGCATTCAGCAACAAAGGCTTATTTCTCACACACACACTACACACTTCTCACTAGTTGGCTGTATTTCTCTGTTCCACGTTACTCCAGGCCATACTCTGGAATGGAGCAGCTACCTTATGGAATAATGATGGTGTTTCTGTCTGAGACAAGGAGAAGGGGCCGGGCATGGTGGCTCACACCTGTAATCCTAGCACTTTGGGAGGCTGAGAAGGAGGATCACTTGAGCTCAGTAGTTTGAGACCAGCCTGGACATATAGTGAGACCTCATCTCTGCTAAACATGAAAAAAGATAGCTGGATGTGGTGGCTCATGCCTGTAGTTCCAACTACTCAGGGGGTGGGGGTCAGGGGTGCTAAGGCAACAGGATCACTTGAGCCTGGGAGGTGAAGGCTGCAGTGAGCCATGACCAAGCTACTGCACTCCAGCTTGAGCAGCAAAGCAAGATTCTGTCTCAACAACAAACAAACAAAAAAACAGAACAAAACAAAAAACAAAGAGAGGGAACATTCCTTCTATGTCACAGGTTACGAAAAAAAAAAAAAAGGGAACATGGTGAATTGTTTCTAAAACATTTTCCTGGAAGTAACACAAATGACTTTTTGTCATATTTAGTTGGCCAAAACAAGTCTTAAACCTGATTTCAATGGAATTTGGAATTATAATTTTAATCAGATGTTGGTAAGCACTTAGATAGTCTGCCATACTCCTATTATATAAAGTCCTTAGCTTGGCAACAATTGATATCCACTGGGGTTTTGCGTCACATCTGGGATGAAATCCTTCAGCATTTGTATGTACTTTTCCATTAGGATCTAGGCACTCATTCACAGCTCCATTTTTCTAACCATCTCTCCACGAGTTTATCTAACCGACATATTTTCAGCCAATTCTTGTGTAAGTAATTGGGCATACAGGGATAAATAAGACACAAAACCTGTCCTGAAAATTTCATAAATGGAGAGATATACAAACAAGTGCACTAAAAGCTTGATTATAGAAAATTATGAACATATTCAAGTATGAATAACCTAGTATCATGAACTCCCTTGGACCGGCATCCAGCTTCAGCAATTATCAATTCATTGCCATCATCTTTGTCTCTATCCCCACCAGTATCCCCCATATTATTGTTTTTTAATTGGAATTTTTATTGAGATCATTGTAAATTCACATGAAGTTTTAGGAAATAACACAGAGATCTGTGTATCCTTCATGCAGTTTTCCCCAACACAAGCTTCTTGCAAAACTATATGCAGTACAATATCACAACTAGAATATTGACATTGATACAATCTATCAATTTTATTCATATATTCTCAGTTTTACTTATATTCTTATATTCATTTGTGTGTGGATGTATTTTGTCCATGTTATTTTGAAGCAAATCTGAGACATTATACAATTGCCCCCAAATTGGTATAGTATATATGTTTACAAAATAAGGACTCCTTAAAAAATATTATCATTACCATACCTTAAAAAGTTACTCCTAATTCTTTAATGTCATCAAATATTAAGGTAGTATTCAAATTTCCATTTTCCATAAATGTCACTTTTTAACAGTTTGTTTGAATAAGGTCCACACCTTGTGACTGGTTGACATGTATTTTAAGGCTCTTAAAATCTAATGTATACTTTCCTCCTTCCTCTTCCTCTCTCTTTTCCCCTCGCAACTATCTCTTTTGTCCTTTATAGTTTCCCATGAGTGATTATATCCACGTTATATTTAAAAATGTTTCCCTGTCCTCTTTATTTCCTGTACATTGGCAGTTGGATCTCAAGATGTGGTCAGATTCAGCTTCAATATTTTTTGGCAAGACTCTTCCAAAGGAGGCATGTAAAGTCTGGCTGTCTCTCTTTTTTGTGACATTGGTGTTCCTTGTCAATGTTGATTAATCAGGGGTTACAAAATGGCAACATTCTAATTCTATTGCTCCTTTCTGATTCAATATAAAATTACTGATTCCAGTAATCAACTTATCGCCTCTACTATTTGGTTACCAAGAAGGCAGGTATTTAAATAGTAAATTGAATTCTCTAGTATTTTCCAGTAATGACCAATTACTTTTAAAATTTTAGGCATCATTATGTACTCATGAGTGAAAACACATTTGATGTATTTTAATCCATTGAAGTTATTTTTCGTTCCTGTTCAAAGTGTTCATTTTTGGCCCATGGGAGTCTCTTCAAGTTGGCTTCTGATTTTTTCAGCATTAGTCTTGGTAGTCTTTGATGGTTTCCTAGGAATCTCGTATGGCAAAATGTTAGGCTCTCTGTCCATTTCCTGCTCCAGACATGGAATCAGTTGTTTCTCCAAGGAGTCCTGATATATTCTACTCTACGTGTATGTGTGTTTAACGTTCACATGTAGTCCTTGTGTTGCTTTTGCTACAGCGATTTTGGCTAACTGAAGCTCACACTCACGTGGTGGGAACCCAAGAAGGGCTCATGAGAACAATATTCTCTTAGTCCTTTTTTGATGACAGCCATTTGTTTAGCTGCCTTTTTGTTTTTGGCAGGGTCTAGCTCTGTCAGCGAGGCTGGAGTGCAGTGGCACGATCAAAGCTCACTGCCCTTAAACTCGTAGGCTTAAGTGACCCTCCTACCTCAGCCTCCTGAGTAGCTAGAGCTGCAGAAATATGCCACTGTACCCAGCTAATATTTTTAAATTGTATTTTGTAGAGACTGAGTCTCATTGTGTTGCTCAGGGTGGTTTCAAACTCCTGGCCTCAAGCAGTCCTCTCGCCTTGGCTTCCCAAAGTGCTGGGATTACTAATGTGAGCTCCTGTGCCTGGCCCATTTGTCAGCTTTTATACCTGAAGGTTAGCTTGGCTATATACAAAATCCTTGGCTCACTTCTTTTCTTTCTTTTGATGTATTAAATATGTTATCTATGGTCTTCTGACATAATGTACTGCTATCAAAAAATTTGATGGTCATCTGATATTCTTTCCCTTATATGTGACTTACTCTTTGCACTTGGATGCTTCAGTACTTTTTGTTTTTTATGTAAGTAAAGGAATTTTGTTAGAATATTTCTCTATATTGCTTGGCCTGGTTTGACTGTACCTAGATATAAGATGTGCCCTTTGAAATGCAGTCTTAAACTTAAAACAACATTTCATTTTATTTATCTTTCTTTATACTTTTAAGTTCAGGGGTACATGTGCAGGTTTGCTATCATATATACATAGGTAAATTGTCATCGGGGTTTGTTTTACAGAGTATTTCATCACCCAGGTATTAAGCCTAGTACTCATTAGTTATTTTTCCTGATCTTCTTCCTCCTCCCACTCTCCACCTGCTGGAAGGCCCCAGTGTGTGTTTTTCCCCTCTGGGTGTTCATGTATTCTTATCATTTACCTCCCACTTATAAGTGAGAACATGCAGTATTTGATTTTCTGTTCCTGTGTTAGTTTGATAAGGATAATGACCTCCAGCTCCATCCATGTCCCTGCAAAGGACATAATCTTGTTCCTTTTTGTGGCTGCATAGTATTCCATGGTGTATATGTACCACATTTTCTCTCTCCAGTCTGTCATTGGTGGGTATTTAGGTTGATTCCATGTCTTTGCTCTTGTGACTAGTGCTGCAATGAACATACGCATACATATGTCTTTATAATATAGCAATTCATATACCTTTGGGTATATACTCAGTAATGGGATTGCTGTGTCAAATGGTATTTCTGGTTTTAGGTCTTTGAGGAATCGCCACACTGTCTTCCACAATGGTTGACTAATGTACACTCCTAAAAACAGTGTGTAAGCATTCCTTTTTCTCTATAACCTCACCAGCATCTGTTATTTTTGACTTTTTAATAATAGCCATTCTGACTGGTGTAAGGTAGTATCTCATTGTGGTTTTGATTTGCATTTCTCTAATGATCAGTCATGCTGAACTTTTCTTTATACGATTGTTGGCTGCATGCATGTCTTCTTTTGAAAAGTGTTTGTTCGTGTCCTTTGCCCATCTTTTAATAGAGTTGTTTGCTTTTTCTTTGTAAATTTAAGTTTCTTATAGATGCTGGATATTAGATCTTTGTTGGATGCATAGTTTGCAAATATTTTTTCCCATTCTGTAGGTTGTCTGTTCACTCTATTGATAGCTTCCTTTGCTGTGTAGAAGCTCTTTAGTTAATTAGATCCCATTTGTCAATTTTTGGTTTTGTTGTAATTGCGTTGGTGTCTTCATCATGAAATCTTTGCCCATTCCTATGTCCTGAATGGTATTGCCTAGGTTGTCTTCCAGGGTTTTTGTAGTTTTAAGTTTTACATTTAAGTCTTTAATCTGTCTTGAGTTGACTTTCGTATATGGTATAAGGAAGGGGTCCACTTTCAATCTTCTACATATGTCTAGCCAGTTATCCCAGCACCATTTATTGAATAGGGAATCCTTTCTCTATTGCTTGTTTTTGTCAGATTTGTTGAAGATGTGATAGTTGTTGGTGTGTGACCTTATTTCTGGGTTTTCTATTCTGTTCCATTGGTCTATGGGTCTGTTTTTGTACCACTACTATGCTGTTTTGGTTACTGTAGCCCTGTAGAATGGTTTAAAGTTGGGTAGTGTGATGCCTCCAGCTTTGTTCTTTTTGCTTAGGATTGCCTTGGCTATTTAGCCTGTTTTTTGGTTCCATTTGAATTTTAAAATAATTTTTTCTAGTTCTGTGAATGATTTCAATGATAGTTTAATAGGAATAGCACTGAATCTATAAATTGCTTTGGGCAGTATGGCCATTTTTTCGATATTGATTTTTCCTGTCTGTGAGCACAGAATGTTTTTCCGTTTGTTTGTGTCATCTCTGATTTATTTGAGCAGTGTTTTGTACTTCTCCTTGTAGAGATATTTCACCTCCCTGATTAATTGTATTTCTAAGTATTTTATTCTTTTTGTGGCAGTTGTGAACGGGATTGCTTTCCTGATTTGGCCCTCAGCTTGACTGTTGTTGGAATGGAATGCTAGTGGTTTTTGCACATTGATTTTTTATCCTGAGATTTTATTGAAGTTGTTTATCAGCTTAAGAAGCTTTTAGGCTGAGACTATGGGGTTTTCTAGATACAAGATCATATTGTCTGCAAACAGGGATAGTTTGACTTCCTTTCATCCTATTCGGATGCCCTTTTTTTTTTTTCTCTTGCCTGATTGCGCAGGCCAGGACATCCAATACTATGAGGATTGGTGATGGAGGGCATTCTTGCCTTGTGCTGGCTTTCAAGGGGAATGTGTCCAGCTTTCACTCATTCCATATGATGTTGGCTATGGGTTTGTTATAGATGGTTCTTATTATTTTGAGGTATATTCATTCAATACCTAGTTTATTGAGAGTTTTTGACATGAAGAGGTGCTGAATTTTATTGAAAGCCTTTTCTACATCTATTGAGATAATCATGTGGTTTTTGTCTTTAGTTCTGTTTGTGTGATGCATCATGTTAATTGATTTGTGTCCGTTGAACCAACCTTGCATTCCAGAGATAAAGCCTATTTGATCATGGTGGAAAAGTTTTTGATGTGCTACTTGAATGAGCTTAAAACAGCATTTTAAAGTAATTGTTTTTTGAGTTATAGTTTTAGGATTTATTTTGTTTATTTTCTTTGGCTTTTTTCTTCTAGCACTCTATGCGCATGTTGGGTTATCTGATTATCTTCTATATTTGTCACTGTCTCTTGTGAATTCTTATTTATTTCTTTTAATTAAAAATTTCTTCTGTTCATCTTCTGTCTCTTTTATGGTACTATCTGGGCCAGGTGCAGTGACTCATGTCTGTAATCCCAGCACTTTGGGAGGCTGAGTTCAGCAGCTCACTTGAGGCCAGGAGTTGGAGACCAGCCTGGTCAACATGGTAAAACCCTGTTTCTACCCAAAATACAAAAGTTAGCTTAGTTGGGCATGGTGGTGCTCACTTGTAGTCCCAGCTTCTCAGGAAGCTGAGGCATGAGAATTGCTTGAACCCAGGAGGTGGAGGTTGTAGTGAGCTGGAATCATGCCACTGCATGCCTGGGTGACAAAGCAAGACTGTGTCTCAAAAAAAAAAAAGTACTATTATTTACTGTTCTGTTCAGTGTCTTCTATTTTAGTCTTCATTTCTGAGCTTTTTTTTTTGAGACATAGTCTTGCCCAGTTGCCCAGGCTGGAGTGCAGTGGTGCACTCTTGGCTCACTGCAACCTCTGCCTCCTGGGTCCAAATGATTCTCCTGCCTCAGCCTCCTAAGTAGCTGGGATTACAGGTGCCCACAACCACGCCCAGCTAATTTTTGTATTTTTAGTACAGATGGGGTTTCACCATGTTGGCCAGGCTGGTCTTGGTCTTGAACTCCTGACCTTGTGATCACCTGCCTTGGCCTCACAAAGTGCTGGGATTACAGGTGTGAGCCACTGCGCCTGGCCATTTCTGAGCTTTTTTTGTTGTTGTTTCTAATTTTTTCCTGAGTTTTATCATTCTACATTTTAGTGTATTTTATTCTGATAAGTGATGTTATTTCTTAATAGCTTCTATTATTGCTTCCAATTCATTTTTGTTTATTTTTAAATATTAGGTTATAAACAGTTTCATCTGTTCCTTCCAAAAATTTTTGTCTTGCTTTCATGATATGTAAGGACATTATTTTGCTCTTAATTCGCTGTTTTTATAATTATGCATGGGAATTAAGCATAACATTTTCTGATGCTCATTTTTATATGAAAGTTATTTTTCTGCAATTTTTGGAGGAAGAGGTAGGTCAGGATGGATTTTATAGTATTAGAGCTTTAGAGTTCTCTTTTCTGCTGTTTTTGTAAAATGTTAGAAATTCAAGGACTTAACTAATTCTGAGATCTCATGGCTTCTTTTTCTTCTACTTTAGTCTGGACTTTGTTGCCTTTTGTCTTTGTTGTTTCTGTCCTGCTCAACTTCAACTCTATTCCTAGTATGTCTCCCCATTGTGAGACTTGATGTTGAAAGGGTATTTATCATATGTTGACCAGTTAGTTTTGGGCATTCATAAAGCACACTACTTCATCCCCTTTGGATCTTGTGTGAGCCCCTTTGTATTCACTCGGATATTATAGAGGAACAATTCTTCCATAATGATATGGTTTGGCTATGTCCCTACCAAATCTCAACTTGAATTGTATCTCCCAGAATTCCCACGTGTTGTGGGAGAGACCCAAGGGGAGGTAATTGAATCATGGGGTCCAGTCTTTCTCATGATATTCTCGTGATAGTGGATAAGTCTCACAAGATCTGATGGGTTTATCAGGGATATCTGCTTTTGCTCCTTCTTCGCTCTCTCTTGCTGCCACAATGTAAGAGGTGCCGAGGTGCCTTTTGTCCTCTGCCATGATTATGAGGCCTCCCCAGCCATGTAGAACTGTAAGTCAAATTAAACCTCCTTTTCTTCCCAGTCTGAAGTATGTCTTTATCAGCAGCATAAAAATGGATTGAAACACATAGCGATTGCTATTGTCAAGTTGATATATTGCACTTATTAATGAATATGTAATGCTATTTTGGGAGTAGTTCTGGTCTCAGTCTGTCAGCTACTCTGTTGCTTCCTTCTGCCTTACACACAGGTGCTGATGCCATGCAGCAGGAATAGCAATGGTTTGTCATTTCTGGGTCTTATTTTGGTGTTTGTGTGGACTTCTTGTCACCTGGTTTTGCTGTAGATATTGTCTGTGGAATTTTGGCTTTGCTTTCTTAGTTGCTCCATATATTTTTTTTATGGGAGGGGATTCAAAAACTACCATATATCAGTAGCTGTCTTTCCAGGACTGCAAAATGTGGTTTTAGAAGTCCTAAAATGGCTTCGACACAGGCTGCTGTTGAAGTGCAGAGAAAGTCAGTGCAGAAGTGGGTGCAGGGAGGGTTTGGCTTGGAGGTCAAGAAAGGTACCTACAGGAAGTAAATTCTGTCTGAACTGAGCCTCAGAAGGAGTCATTTGAATATGAAAAAGGGAGCAAGCTATGAAGGCAAAGGTAACAGCATTTGTGAGTGGTCAGGTCCATGAGATGGCATGTTGTGAGTGGGGAATCAAAGGTCCTAGCAGATGCTGAATGAGTGTCTGTTGGGCGTGGAAGTGTGGTACCTCTCTGAATGTAAGCCTCTGTTTCCCTGCCCCAGCAACCTTGTTTTCCAGGATAGATTGGTTTTTATATATTGCTAGTTCTCACCTTTCTGGTCCCTGTGTAATTCTCATTATTCATTGCTTTTTACAATCCTCTCAGTTGAGAGCCATCTGTGAAGTTAATTTCAGCACTGTTTACTCTTTCCTCCTAAATCACTAATGAAGATGAAACATTCAATGGAATTGAGCTTTGCACCCCTTTCTGGGAAATTCCACCGAGGCTTGCTCTTGTTTCAGGTAATCATCTTGAAATCAAACATGTTATCACCCTTTGGTCAGTTGTTCATGAGGCTATTGAGTTCAAGTTTGTACTCATTTAAATTCATTTTTTTTTAAGATTCTATTAGGTAATCCAGCTTTAGTCTTCAACAAAACAATAAAAAAGGTTTAATCTCACTAGTAATCAAAGATATGCAAATTAGGACATTATTGAAGGGTTTGTGTTTTTTACTGACAGTATTTGTAAACATTTTAAAAGTTAGCACCCACTGCTGGTGAAGTGTGTTGAAATTAACATTTCCAAATGCTTTTAGAAATCAATATGGCAGGCCTGGCTTGGTGCCTTACACCTATAATCCCAGCATTTTGGGAGGCTGAGGTGGGCGGATCACCTGAGGTCAGGAGTTCAAAACTGGCCTGACCAATATGATGAAACCCTGTCTCTATTAAAAATACAAAAATTAGCCGGGCATGGTGGCACACACCTGTAGTCCCAGCTACTCTGGAGGCTGAGACAGGAGAATTGCTTGAACCCAGAAGGCGGAGGTTGCTGTGAGCCGAGATTACACCATTGCACTCTGGCCTGGGCAACAGAATGAGACTCCATCTCAAAAAAAAAAAAAAAGAAAAAAAATCAATATGGCAGTTTAGCATCAAGGTTCAAAGAGGATTTACCCTTTTCTTCGTTTTTTTGTTTGTTTGTTTTTGTTTTTACCAGTAGTGGGAATTTATCCTGAGAAAGTATTTCTGGAAGAGAGAAAAACCTTGCATGAATATGGTTGTTGAAATATTTAGCTTCATGTAATAAAAATGGAAACAAAATCTACCAGCAATGGGAGAATTATTAAATAAATTAAGGTCCATCAACTGAATGAATAGAAGAATCTCAGTAATGGGTTGCTGCTATTATTATTGTTATTAGTATCTTTGTTGCTGTTTTTATTCTTTGACCCTACATACATGTTGTTTTTTTCCCATGGCACTATGACTGCAACTCCAGTTTACTAATAAGAACATATTTTGTCCCCTAAAATAATTACCAAGAAATGACATTAAACCAATAGTTGTAACTTAGTGCTAAACTGTGGTTTACTATAAATAAGAACTTTGTAATATTAATACACATCTTCAAAGATGAAATAATATATGAATCTTCATAACAGAAAGTTACTTATCATGCCCTTAAATTGGAACCAACCCACATGTCCATCAGCTGATGGTTGGATAAATAAAATGTGGTGTCTTCATACAATGAAATATTATTAGGTCATAAAAGGAAGGAGTGATACAAGCTATAGCATACATGAACCTTGGAATTATTATGATAAGTGAAAGAAGTCAGCCACAAAAGTTCACATTGTATGATTCCATTTATATTAAATGTCCAGAATATGCAAATCCATGGAGAATAAAAAGTAAATTAGTGATTGCTTCTGGCAGAGGGGTATGGAAGAGTGGGGAGTGACATGGGGTTTCTTTTTGGGGTTAAAACAATGTTATAAAATTGATTATGGTGATAGTTGCACAACTCAGTGGCAATACTGAAAACCATTGAATTGTGCACTTTAAATGGGTGAATTGAATGGCATGTGATTTGTATCTCAATAAAACTGTTACCAAATAAACTGACTACACAAAGCCCAATTATCTAATCAACCTCTATAATAAGCAATGATTCGACCTTTGAAAAACTTAAATAGAATGCTGCAGCATTAATGTAAGCAATTCTTTAATAACACAACCTCAACTTTTCATAACTATTCCATAGCATAGTAGAGCTCTGATTTTAACATCCTCTCATTTTTACAGTTTTCAAGCAGCAAAAGCAGTTTGTGGCAATTTGCAAGACTCTGGCAAACCACCTGCACCTTTCAAACTAAAGATTTTGAACTGTTTGGTCTCCTTGTAAGTTTAGAAACAATATCAGTTAAAATCAATTTGGCTGAAAATGACAGATACCTTGAGACATAATATTAAATTAAAGATAATAGATAAAAGTTTATTTCTCCCTCACATAAACATATTTAATCCAAAGAGGACAAGGCAGTTGTATGATCACTGGGGACCTGTTCCTGTCTAGCTAGTTAATCTACCATTTCAAAACAGTGTTTACCTATTACCCAAGCAGTGTACACTGTACCCAGTATACCCAATAGGCTTTTATCCCTCTCCCCACTCCCATCCTTTCCCCCCTAGTCCCCCAAATCCATGATATCATTCTTATGCCTTTGCAGCCTCATAGCTTAGCTCCCACTTATAAGTGAGAACATACAATATTTGGTTTTTCCATTCCTGAATTACTTCACTTAGAATAACAGCCTCCATGATGGCTGTTCAGGTCCTGCCAACCCATCAGCATTTCAACCAGGAGAAGGAAGGATAGACAGAAGAGAAGGGCACGGTTTTTTATGAATGGATTTATTCTAGAAATCAGACACTACTTTCTTATGTCTCTTTGCTAGAACTTAGTCACACACTATAATTGGTTGCCAAGGAGGCCAGAAAATGTTTTTATTTTGGGTGGCCATGTGCCTAGCTAAAATTTGGAGGGTTTGGTGTTATAGAAGAAGGGGAGAATGGATTCTTGGGAACCACCAGTTCCTGATACAAAGTGTCTCTGCCCCTAATTTTTCATGTGCTTCCTTCAGCTGGGGTAGAAATGCATTCCAAATTCTTGGCTTTGAATTTAAACTCTGTCCTAGAAAACCACCTAACCTCCATGAAACTGTTTCCTCTCCTACGAAGTGAGAAAATATTCTCATCTCATTTGACTGTGGGAAGGGTTAAGCACATTAATATATGTCGAAAGTGTTTTATAATCTATAAAGCAGTGCACACATGATAGATTTAACTTGAAAAAGAGTATACATAGGTAGGATATAATCATGGTTTTAAAATGTCTGAAGCACTCCCTAGGGAAGTCAGAAACTTAAAAAAAAAAATTCCCTATCACTCCAGAGGGCAAAATGGGTTCAGTGATGAAAGTCAGAGGGAGGCAGATCTCAATTGAGTCTGCCTTCTCTACAGTCCAGGGCTGTTCAACAAGAAGATGGCTCCTTTCTGGCCAGGCACGGTGGCTTGCCTGTAGTCCCAGCACTTTGGGAGGCTGAGGCGAGTGGATCACTTGAGGCCAGGAGTTCAGGATCAGTCTGGCCAACATGGTGAAACCCCTTCTCTACTAAAAATACAAAAATTAGCTGAGCATGGTGGTGTATGGCTGTCATCCCAGCTACTCAGGAGGCTGAGTCAGGAGAATCACTTGAAGCTGGGAGGTAGAGGTTGCAGTGAGCCAAGATCACGCCACTGCAGTCCAGTCTGGGCAACACAGTGAGACCCTGTCTCAAAAAAAAAAAAAAAAAAGGGGCTGGACGCGGTGGCTCATGCCTGTAATCCCAGGACTTTGGGAGGCTGAGGTGGGCGGATCACAAGGTCAGGAGATCAAGACCATCATGGCTAACGCGGTGAAACCCCGTCTCTACTAAAAATATAAAAAATTAGCCGGGTGCGGTGGCAGGCGCCTGTAGTCCCAGCTACTCGAGAGGCTGAGGCAGGAGAATGGTGGGAACCCGGGAGGCGGAGCTTGCAGTAAGCCGAGATCGCACCACTGCACTCCAGCCTGGGTGACAGAGCACGACTCCGTCTCAAAATAATAATACTAATAATACTAATAATAATAATAATAAAATAAATAAAAAATAAAATGGCTCCTTTCTGCAGAACTGTGCTCTTTGTATTTATCTTATCTTCTAGTGGAGGGCTTTGGCCAGTTGTTGGAGATGGGGTGTGTTGATGCCTCATCCATCCTCAAAGCAGGTAAGCCAGTGTCCACTGTCTCAGAACCACTTCCTTATTACCACTGTCTTGCAGTGTGGCTAAACATAATATCTACTGTCAAAAAGCTTATAATAGAGAAAGGGATTTAAAATATGTAAAAATAATGGTTGTTCATAGTAGAAAGATAAATAAAGTGAGATTGGACTTTAGGACCAATGCAATGAAAAGAACATGTAAACACTGGAAATAAAGACTCCCTAAGCTCGTACCTTCTTAAATAGTGTAAAAAAAATACTCATTGAACATTGAATACTCTCAGCTCAGAGATAATCAAGAGACAGTTCATTCTTGAGAGTGCAGGTTTTCAGAATGTTCTGAGAAAGAGTGAATGATTTTAAGGTGAGTTAAAGTTGAAGTGTAGTTGGGAATCGAGGGAGGGGAAGGATGTGGAAAGATTCCAGTAGTATTATTAAGAAAATTGATTAAAGCTACTCTAGTAAAAGTAGGAGGAATTACATCAATAAGACAAATGGTACCTCCGGTAACTTTGAACTCAGTATTGATAGAAGGGTTGATGGAGAGATCTGGGAAATCAATGAAACTATCTCTAAAATTTCAAGGCAATTGATTGAAAGAGAGTAAGGAAAACAGGCAAAAAAAAAAAAATGTCAGCCTTTTATCATTGCAAATGAGGCCACATTGTTGATCACCTGCTCCTAAAGTCAGACTCAATGCAAGCTTCAGGAGGAAAAAAAGGGTGTCACATAATCTGAAAATAGGTTAGGCTGCTCTGTTGTATTTATAGGAAGAGAATGATCTAGTTCATGTATTCTAAGTAGTTCAACTTGTATATACGAAATCAAATCAGCCCCATTCAGAATGATAGACTCTTTACTGTCTTAAATACCCATCCTATCATTCTGCTTGTGTAGAAAAGAAAAAATCAAAATGTCCAATCAAAATGTTCTGATGCTAACACGAAACGCATGATGGAGGGTGGTGCAAGCAGATTCACCCCTGGTGTCTCCCATTTTCTCCTTCACAAATTCCTAGTTCACTTTTGAACTTCTTAGCCAAGAGTCTGTATAACCCCAAGCCTCAGCCTCAATCAACCTCAGTAGTTTTTCCTGAACTTAAGTTATTGAATAAACCCAGTATTTTGGATCAGTGAGGAAAAGCCTGAACTTTTATGTGTGTTATTATATATGGTACCTCTTAGTTATGGGAATTCTCAGGAACTGGGTTGACCTGATTATTAGATATTTTTATGTAGGGATAGAGTGTGGCCAGTATCTCCCTAACATTCATTTCTCCTTCTTCCAATATAATCACCATAATTTTTTTTTCAAAAGATAACTACCCATCCTCAGTCTTTCCTTCAACAAATGTTTGCTGAGGCCCTGTGATATGCTTGGTACTATCATCAGTATTAGGGATATAGTGTGAGCCAGACAGATAAGATCCCTGTCCCCATGGAATCTATGATGGTGGGGAAGACAGGAAATAAATATATAATTTATGGAAGTGATCAATCTTATCAAGAACATTAAAGTAGGTAAAGCGTAGAATTTGACTGGGGAAGACTGGAGAAAAGGAATATGTGTTGGGGAATTTTCACTGAGGAAATTCACTGATTTGGAAAACTGAATAAAGTAAGGGATAGTTCTAGGGATGAACATTCCAGGTAGAGAGCAAAGC
This sequence comes from Homo sapiens, assembly GCF_000001405.40. Taxonomy (NCBI): domain Eukaryota; kingdom Metazoa; phylum Chordata; class Mammalia; order Primates; family Hominidae; genus Homo; species Homo sapiens. Next base: position 34,153,587 of record NC_000022.11, read on the forward strand.
AAGTGTGGATCCCTGTGGTGGCAGCAAGCTCGGCATTTTCAAGAAATTGTAAGATGTTCAGTGTTGCTGAGCAAGAATGAAGAAGGGTGAGTGGAATAAGATGAGAGCAGAGAGATAAAAGTGGGATCTGGGCCGGGCACAGTGGCTCACGTCTGTAATCCCAGCACTTTGGGAGGCCAAGGTGGGCGGATCACGAGGTCGGGAGATCGAGACCATCCTGGCTAACACGGTGAAACCCCGTCTGTACTAAAAAATACAAAAAATATTAGCCGGGCGTGGTGGTGGGCACCTGTAATCCCAGCTACTGAGGAGGCTGAGGCAGGAGAATGGTGTGAACCTGGGAGGCGGAGCTTGCAGTGAGTGGAGATTGCGCCACTGCACTCCAGCCTGGGCCACAGAGCAAGACTCTATCTCAAAAAAAAAAAAAAAAAAAAAAAAAAAAAAAAAAAAAAAAAAAAAGGATCTGTATCATGTAGGATCTTGTGGGTCTCAGAAAGGAATTTAGATCTTATTTATTTATTTATCTTTTGGGACAGAGTCTACCTCTGTCACCAAGGCTGGAGTGCAGTGGTTTGATCTCAATCTCGGCTCACTGTAACCTCTGCCTCCCAGGTTCAAGAGATTCTCATGCCTCAGCCTCCCAAGTAGCTAGGATTACAGGTGTGCACCACCACACCTGGCTAATTTTTAGTATTTTTAGTAGAGACTGGGTTTCACTGTATTGGCTGGGTTGGTCTTGAACTCCTGGCCTCAAGTGACCCACCCACCTCAGCCTCCCAAATTGCTGGGTTTATAGGCGTGAGCCACCGTGCCCAGCTGGAATTTGGATCTTATTCTGAATGGCATGTATGCCATTGGAGGGTTTTGGGTAGCAGGGAGATTTATATTTTTTAAAGATTACTCAAGCTACTATGTGGAGAAGAAACTATAGGAAGCAAAAGAGGAGTTTTTTGCCAGGAGTTCAGTTGGGAGGATACTGCAAAGTGAGATGTAAGAGGTATTTTGAAGGAGGAGCTAAAAGAACTTGCTGGTGGATTGGACTTGGAATGTAGAGGTAGAAAGACATCAAGGTGATCTCTCAGATTTTGCCTTGAACAATTAGGTGGATGGTGGTGCCATTTAATGAAATGGGGAAGACTCAGAGAAGAATGGGGCTGCAACCCAAATATACCATTTTAAAAAATTAAAATTTGAGATGAATAATAGACATGTAAGCACAAATTTGTGTAGGAGACAGTTCCATACACAAGTCTGGAGTTCAGGAGACAGGTCAGAGCTACAGGTATATACTGAGAGTCTTCCAGATATCGATGCTATTTAAAGCTGTGGGACTAGATGAAATCACCTAAGGAAGAATTGTAGACAGAGCAAAGAGAACCAAAGACAAAGCCTAGAGTTTCTCTGTGAAGTTCAAGGTGAGCTGACTTAACCTCCAGCTCCAGATGTAACTTTGTAATCCAAAATATGCATCAGAGGTAATCTCATGACTTCTGGGGCTATGAGGAGGAAGGACTTCTCTTCTTGGCTGGATTGAGTTCAGGGATATGTAAGCCTGGGGTTTCTAGGGGCAATCAATTGAAGAGAACCCATCGGAGAATGAAGTCAACACCAAGAAAAGCAGAGCCAACAGATGAAAAGAAACATTTCTATTGATGCCACCCAAGAACTTGGATCAAGGCATATCTGAAGCTCAATTTACCCCTGTTTTTCTTTTCTGTGACATAGGTCAGCAAGATCCCTTTTTCTGCTATTTTGAATTGGACTTTATGTCTTTGGTGGCTCTCCCTCACCATCCCACTACATATCCCATACAGGCTAATCAACATGTCAAAGTTCACACAGTTATTGTGTACCCCTGGGCTCAATCTCAAGTGTTCTGGTTGGTCGTCCAAGGTTACTTTTTTTTTTTTTTTTTTTTTTTTGAGATGGAGTCTTGCTCTGTTGCCCAAGCTGGAGTGCAATGGCATGATCTTGGCTCACTGCAACCTCCGCCTCCTGGGTTCAAGGGATTCTCCTGCCTCAGCCTCCTGAGTAGTTGGGATTACAGGCATGCACTACCATGCCTGGCTAATTTTTGTATTTTTAGTAGAGGTGGAGTTTCTCCATGTTGTTCAGGCTGGTCTTGAACTCCCAACCTCAGGCAATCCACCTCGGCCTCCCAAAGTACTGGGGTTACAGGCATGAGCCACTGCGCCTGGCCCAAGGTTACTTTTCACTACATCTTCCTACCTGTATCACTTACTGCCGTGTGTATAACTTCCACATTTTCTTTCTTTTCTTTTCTTTTCTTTTCTTTTCTTTTCTTTCTTTTCTTTCTTTCTTTCTTTCTCTCTCTTTCTCTCTCTCTTTCTCTCTGTCCCCTCCTTCCTTCTCCTTCCTTCTTCCTTCCTTCCTTCCTTTCCTTCCTTCCTTCCTTCTTTCAACACAGAGTCTCACTCTGTCACCTAGGCAGGAGTGCAGTGGCCCAGTCTCAGCTCACTGCAACCTCCGCCTCCTGGGCTCAAGCAATTCTCTCACCTCAGCCTCCCGAGTAGCTGGGATTACAGGCATGTGCCACCATACCCAGCTAATTTTTGTATTTTTAGTAGAGACGGGATTTCACCATATTTTCCAAGCTGGTCTCGAACTCCTGACCTCAAGGGATCTGCCCGACTCAGCCTCCCAAACTGCTGGGATCATAGGTGTGAGCCATCATGCTTGGCCCACACTTTCTATGTTAATCTAATTTAGATGATTTAATCTATATACAGTTTCTATATTAATCTAATTTAGATGACTTAATCTATATACAACTTCTATATTAATCTAATTTATATGATTTTCTGATGGCCGTGTGCACGCAAGTGATATAACTGGATCTTCCTCCTGGGCTTATGTAAGCTGAATGCCAGCAACAATACTCACTGTGTTAGGGGCTCAGTTTTGTACCCTTAAAATTCATATGTTCAAGTCCTAATTTCCAGTACCTCAGAATGTGACTGTGTTTGAAGATAAGTTCTTTAAAGAGATAATTAAGTTAAAGTGAGGTCTTTAAAGTGAGCCCTAATACAATACAACTGATGTCTCAAAGAAGGTAGTACTGGGAAGGAAAAACACAAAAAAACTGTTGTCTTCATTAGAAGGGATAATTTGGACACAGACACGTGCACACACAGAAGAAAGCCCATATGAAGACACAATGAGAAGGTGAACATCTACAGGCCAAGGAGAGGGGCCTCTGAAGAAACCAAACTTGCTAACACCTGGGGCTCAAATATCTAACTTCCAGATTTGTTAGAAAATAAATTTTTGTTGCTTTAGCCACCCAGTCTGCGGTATTTTATTCTGGCCCCTCTAGTGGACTCTTACACAGTCTGCAAGAAGAAGCTGGGAATAGAGAAAGTTCCAGATTGGCTCCCATCAGCTTGTCCGCCATTGTCAATGGCTCCAGCCATGAGCCCCTGTGCTAAATGATGGACTCTCTACCGTAATCAGCAGCATATTTACAGCAAGAGGGCAATTATCTGAGGTCCAAACTCTTAGTCTTGGGCTGAAAATAGCACTGGCTGTATAGATTTCTATGAGAACAGCCAATGAGTTGCCATCTCCAAAATCGTCCTGTCTCTGGGTCTCACAATTTTGCACTTAGGCAGGGAAATTCTCCAAGGCCCATATACTCATCCATTGACCAGACATTTAGTGAGCCACTTCTGAGTTCCACAAATTACGCTGAGTTCTGGAGACATAAACTAGGCTAGGAGCTTGTCCCGCACACTCACAGTCTAATACGGGAGACAAACCTACAAGCTTAAGGGCGGTGGGATGAACTCTATGACAGAGTGCGGTACAAAGTGCTGGGGGCACGCGGAGGCCAGCATGTGGTTCTGATTGGGTGATCACAGGCACCTTCATGGAGGTGGGGGTACCTTAAACTGGACTTACTAACTTAGATGTTTCCAGGAACCAAGATGGAAAAATGAATACTTAAAGTGATCAGATACAGGATAATAGGGAGTGGGAATGCCTCATGCAACTGGAGAACACCTGTATTTTCCAAAGGGCATGCAGATTAAAGCTTTAAAGAACATTGGGCCTGGGCGTGGTGGCTCATGCCTGTAATCCCAGCACTTTGGGAGGCCGAGGTGGGTGGATCACGAGGTCAGGAGATCGAGACCATCCTGGTTAACACGGTGAAACTCTGTCTCTACTAAAAATCCAAAAAATTAGCTCAGTGCGGTGGCAGGAGCCTGTAATCCCAGCTACTTGGGACGCTGAGGCAGGAGAATCGCTTGAACCTGGGAGGCGGAGGTTGCAGTAAACCGAGGTTGCTCCACTGCACTCCAGCCTGGGCGACAGAGAGAGACTCTGTCTCAAGAAAAAAAAAAAAGAACAGTGTACTGGCTAAATAATTCCAGCTGCAAGGTGCTGTGGGTTGCTGGTTTTCCATCTCTGCTTTTGAATCAGGAAGAATTATCTGGATAGACAAGGCAAAGAAGCACTCCAGGGAGTAGTTAAAAAACCCTGAGGAGGCCGGGTGTGGTGGCTCACGCCTGTAATCCCAGCACTTTAGGAGGCTGAAGTGGGCAGATCAAGAGGTCAAGAGATCGAGACCATCCTGGCTAACACGGTGAAACCCCGTCTCTGCTAAAAATACAAAAAATTAGCCGGGCGTGGTGGCAGGTGTCTGTAGTCCCAGCTACTCGGGAGGCTGAGGCAGGAGAAGGGTGTGAACCCGGGAGGCGGAGTTTGCAGTGAGCCGAGATGGAGCCGCTGCACTCCAGCTTGGGCGATAGAGCGAGACTCCGTCTCAAAAAAAAAAAAAGAGAAAAAAAACCCCGAGGATAGGCTCCTTCTCAGCAGGGAGAATACAGCACTCCCAGGCTGAGGCAAAGAGTAGACACAATGTGAAGCTTCTCCTGGCTGGTTGGTCTCCTTGCCTGATCCTAACTCCTCCTACTCAGACAACACTCGAGCATTCTGGACCATCTGAATGGTCCGGAATGCCATCTTTAGCCTTACATGGCTATTTAAACACTCTTTAAAAATTTAGCCATACTTTTTGGATCCTGATCGAAGTGGCAACTTCATCCTCACTCTTTGTATACACTCTGACCTCAGTTTGCCTTCCTTTTGAAACAGTCTCCTCTGAATTTTGGATTTCACTGAAGGCATGGATTATATTTCATAATAACAATGATCATGGTTGTAGGTTTTGAATCAAACGCTTGGGTGGAAATCCTCACTCTTCAGTTACTAGCTGTATAACTTTGGAGAAATTCACAAATTGATATATTTCCTCTCTCTGAGCCTCAGTTTCTATTTCTGTTAAATGGGTATAATGAGCCTCACTTCATTTTATTTATATAAAGAACTCAGCACAATGCGTGGCACATAGGCAGGCATCATTCTGAGGAGATGAATGGACAGTGAAATATCATCTGCATTCCCACTCGCGAACTTATGCCTGGTTCCTAACTTTGCCTCCGTTGCCAGATTCTGGACCCGTTCTGGGTTTGCCCATTCCTCTGCTCCATCCATATCCTCTACTGATTCACTATCCTAGACTCCCAGACAGCCTTGTGACTGAACTCAGATTGGGCTGCTCTCTACTCGAACAGGCAGACACACAGGAAACGGGGTTTGGTGGAAGGAAAGCAGTTTGGACTATTCAAGTGTTAGCAGGTTGGGAGATGGCCAGACTTAAGTCTCAAATTCTCAGGCTGGCTATAGAGGTGTTAAGGGGATATGTGGCAGGAAAACTCTCAGCAGGAGTGGCATGGGGTGTAGGTTTGCTTGTCATTTTCTGAGGGCTCTTTTTTTTTTTTTTTAGACGGAGTCTCGCTCTGTCGTCCAGGCTAGAGTGCGGTGGTGTAATCTCAGCTCACTGCAACCTCTGCCTCCCAGGTTCAAGCGATTCTTCTACCTCAGCCTCCTGAGTAGCTGGGATTACAGGCATGTGCCGCCATGACCGGCTTATTTTTGTAGTTTTAGTAGAGACAGAGTTTCGCCATGTTGGCCAGGGTGGTATCAAACTCCTGATCTCAAGTGATTCATCCACCTTGGCCTCCCAAAATGCTGGGATTACAGGCGTGAGCCATCACGCCTGGCCTGATGTCTCCCTTGAGTAATAGACCATCCAGAGGCTCGGTTGACATCATCTCGGCAGGGATTGGGTTATGGATTAACGGCACACAGATTTCTTCTCAGAAGGGAGAAAATTGCAACTGTCATCTCTGCTTCATGCCTGGATTGTTTTAAGATTGGTCTTTGGAATTTTCCTTTTATTTATTTATTATTTTTGAAATGGACTTTCACTTTTGTTGCTCAGGGTGGAGTGCAATGGCTTGCAAAAGCTCACTGCAACCTCTGCCTGCCAGGTTCAAGTGATTCTCCTGCCTCAACCTCCCAAATAGCTGGGATTACAGGTGCCTGACACCACACCCAGCTAATTTTCTGTATTTTTAGTAGAGACAGGGTTTCACCGTGTTGGCCAGGCTGGTCTCGAACTCCTGACCTCAGGTGATCCACCTGCCTCAGCCTCCCAAAGTGCTGGGATTATAGGCATGAGCCACTGTGCCTGGCCAGGCTTTGGAATTTTCTAGCAAACAGGCAGTTAGATGTAAGTGTAGCAAGAAACAAAGTGCAGGAGGAGTTACTTTTAGAATAGGCTAGCAAACTGACTATGCCACTGACAGCCTTAGCTTTCCAGCTCTTCCATCCCTCCTTGCACGCGACCTGCTCTGTTTTTGCTGCTGGTCTTGGTGCTGACATGGGTGGAGCTGACTGCAGACAAGATATTAAAACCCATCCATCAGGATCAGGAGCTTTTTCTCAGCACCAGATGGAAAAAGCTCTGGATCATTCTGTTCAGACAAAAGAATTCAACTTTTCCCCCTGATGACCCTCTTGGTCTTGCTGCCAGGGTTCTCTCTTATTTTCATTGACAAATAACACTCCCTGTTGGGAACAAGACATCCTGGGCTCTGTGTTTCAGTGGGAGTTGGTAAACTTCTAAAGCCACTCAATCTTCAGGCTGGGATTTTACAGCACCCCTGTGGTCCTCCATAATTGCTCGGAAATGCATGGTGTCTCCCGTCATGTTGCTTAATTAAAATTCAGTTCTGTTCAACAAAGTCACAATTAAGAGGTGTTTTTTTTTTCTTTCTTTTTCCTGCTATCATTTTCAGACCCCTGATTGTGATGCTTCCTTGCTTAATCTGGAAATTGTCTGAAATATTTCCATGGGCAGTACATGAGGGCCTGGCAAGTTAGCATTGTAGCAATGCCTGGAAAAGAAAGGCACTACGTTCTATTGAGTACATATGAAGTGGTACTTTTTGTTACTTGTGTCATTTGATCTGCTTTTGGCAGGTCATTATCCTCATTTGTCTGGAGCAGATAACTGAGGCTCAGAGAGGTTCAGTAGCTTGCCTAAGTTTGCATAGCTCAGGGCAGAAGCAAGAAATTAAAATACAGAGTCAGCTATCTTGATCATGTCATGGGATTAATACTAAAGATTAAAACACCCCCACAGAGAATAAGTGCTCAAATATCTAAAGGTTTTTGGAAGAAATTCACCAATGATGATTGGAGAGAAGAAATCCAGCTGCGACCCTCAACCTCCTAAATTTTTGAGAATGAATCAAATAACTGGTGTGTCTTATTAATTTTTCTTCTCTCAACATCCAGAGTAGGTCCAAACTGTGGTCAAACCCTCTGTGCCCCATGTATTATATAGGTACCTAATCAACACTTGTTCAATTAAAAAAATAATTTGCATAGTACAATTACAAATTGAAATTGCATTAACAATGCTCAGTGTCTAAACGCTCTTGAGAAAAATGTCTCTTTGAAGCACCATCCTTTTCTCCGCAGCAGGACTCCAAGGGAACTGAATTCTGACCGCTTTGACTTGGAGTTTAGCATTCAAGAATTAGGAAGATTATTTCCTTGAACTAGTCTTTTCTCTCTCTGTAATTCCGATGCTAAGTAAGGATTGACCCTGGCTCCTCTTCTCCACCCCCTCCCAGCGTAATTATCTCTCCAATTAAAGAGCAACCAAGGGACAACTGAACTGGAGGTTCTGCAGAATTACAACTAAGCACGCAGCCGAGGAATCTACTCAGCTTTGATCTCTTATCGCTCTGCACACACAGCCCTTTCTCTGTAAGGCTAGCTGCTCTCAGCATCACTGTGTCTAATCAAACGTGTCACACCTCCACTGAGGTAAATTGGGTTTATTGGAGAAGGGAAATTAAATTAAGTCTGTTTATGAATTAATTGTGACTGTCTAGGTTTAGTCTATCATATTATCCCATTGTGGTTTATCAGGATCAAAATCTGCTGACCGAGTTAAAATATATACATAACCTTTATAACTAGAAAACAGGCATAGTGTTTTGGGTAGCAAAAACAGCAAAGGGAAAATGAAAACTTAGAAATGGAAAGGGAGAAGATAGACAGGATATCAGCTGATTCACTTTAGAAGAGAATGTAAAACAAGGTTACAGACACCAAATACCCCTTAGTTTACACACACATGAAGATATAGTGGCTGGTATATAATAGGTGCTCAATAAATATTTATTTAAATGGCTGGAAAAATAAATTGATGAATGAATGGGTACATTGTCATCATCTTTATCACCATGATCTAGAGGTCTTCACTGAGCCAAGAGTGAGCCATGTTACATGGTAGGTACTTTCTATTCAAGAGCAAAACAAGTATTTATTAAAGGCCTACTGTATTCTAGGAACTGTGCTAGGTTTTAGGGACATAAGAAAGACCCACTTTCTGCTGTCATCTAACATTTAGTCTAGGGGAGAACACAAAACACTGAATTTGTGATGAAGGAGACCTCTGTGATTAGAGGATCTGGGATGCTATAGAAGCAAATAGTGAGAGTCATAGCAAGAACTGGGTCATGTTTCATGGGACGTGACCACAAAGCCTACCAACTGGACTTGAGCAGCAAGAACAGGGGTTAACAAGAGGAATATAAAATTGCTTAGGTCAGTTATTGATAGGGTTATTGATGGGGGCTGTCCTGGTTTATACTTGGTTTCCTGCTGTAATTGTAATAGTGTCCACTTCAACTTCCAAAAGTGCCCTAATTTGGATGATAAATTATACACTTATTCTAGTTGTTGAAAATTCCTGTGAGCTGCTGATGTGTTCAAGAGAGGAGCAGTTAGTAGCTGTCAGCTAGTGGTTCTATAAGGTGGAGCATGAAGAACTGCTGGTGGGCTGGGATGACCTGATTGAGAAATCTTGTGCCAAAGAGGCTTTGAGAAGAGAAAGTTCAAAAATGAAACCCTACCTCCGGAATGTTGATTCTTTGAGCAGCCTATATTTGGTGATATTCTTTGCAATGTACGGTGTGGGTCTCTGTGCTTTATTCCCTAATGGTAAGAGAGAGAACAAACAGATTGGAGGTTTAGGTCACTGGTCAGTGGAGATCAGCAACCCGGCTTGGGCAAGCATTCATCGGCCACTTGCAGGTAAGGAGGCTACAAAACAGAGGTAATTAGAAAACCCTGTCTAATGTATCACCCAGCTGGAAACTGAGTGATGGAGACCCAGTAAAGAAGAGAAAACCTAATTAGACTAAGTGGGAATTTCTTCTGGAACAGGAAAATGTCAAGAATCTGGCAGAAACAATTTTTTTCCAGTAGCATTTGAAACCAGATAAATCCATTTATTGTCTTTGTATAATCATATAATTTCTTCTACAAAATGAAATATCAATATTTCCTTTGCAAAAAGGGACACAAGGGAATATCTCTCATCTGCCACACACACATAGAGTAGTTAAACAATATTCAAGGAATAACAAAATGAAAAAATCTGGACAAAGACTGAGATCCCATAACTTAAAATAAATTTAGATATGCAGGCAATTTAAATAATAATAAATAAATGTGTTAGGCCGGCATTTAAAAATTATCATCAATTATTGGTGAATCAAACTATGCTTCTGCTTCCAGATTTTCTCCTCTCTCTGCCACAAAAATCATCATTATTAATGAGTGCTAACATTTTAAATCTTCTAATAACTCAAAATGGGAAGATTAGAGAAGGAATAGGTAGGCTATCAGTATAACCCATTTTCAATTTCAAGTTGACTTTGTTTTAATCCTTTAAAGATACACTAGAACTTCCTCTGGGTAAATTTGCTAAAGAATAAGAACCTTGTATGAGGTAGGCACTTTCATTGTATTCATTCATTTATCCACTCATTTTATTCAACAAAGATTTGGAGGATTCCTGGCACATAATCATATGGCAGAAATTACAGATCACTAGAATGTGGCTCCCATACCCAAGGAGCTCCTATATGGAAGAGTAGAGAGACAAATCCATGATTATAGCAAAATAAGGTATATATGGAACAGCAGAAGTATGCAAAAGGCAGCAAAATGGAGAGCTAAAGAGTTAGCCAGGCAGACAGCCATGGATCAGCCATTTCAGGAGAAGCAACAGGAGCAAAGGAATGAAGACAAGAAAGAGCACAGTGTGTAGGAAGCTGAACTGGGCTGGTGTT